>NC_000006.12:13090303-13241818 GCF_000001405.40 Homo sapiens | reverse complement strand
CTCCTGATATCAAGTGATCCACCTGCCCCGGCCTCCCAAAATGCTGGGATTACAGGTGTGAGCCACTGCGCCCACCCAGCATTACTTTTTCTAATAAGAGTCGAGCATGATACAGTATTCAGACTCACCAGGAGAGGGAAGGAACTAGCATTCATTATCTACTACAGTTGAAAGTCTTACTCATTTGGTGCTCTGGATGACCTTGTGTGGGAGGTCCGTTTTACAGATGTGGAAACTAAGGCTTGACAGGGGCCCAGCTAGTAAGTGGTGAAGAGCTTTCAAGCTCAGGTCCAGCTCCAAAGTCTTTGATTTCTCTTCTTACTAGCCCATTGCTTCTCAAACTTTAGTGTGCATCAGAATCATGCTGGTTAAAATGCAGATTCCTGCACGCCACCTCCCACCCGGCCCAAGAATTTCTGATTCTGGGTCTGGGGTGGGGCCTGAGAATATGCATTTTCAACAAATTCCCAGGGGATGCTGATGCCATTAGCCCAAGGGCCACACCAGGAGAACCACTGCATTGGACCTCTGTTCCCCACATTGCAACAGGCACAGGTATTACTGAAATGCAATAAAAAAGCCCAGTTAAGCCCGAGATAGAAGAACATCTCCTTTCCTCTTCTTCATTCCATGCCTTATCTCTCCCTTGAGTACATTTGCACATAGCTTGACCCACTGCCACTGTGGAACTCTACAGTCCACCAAGATACCTACCAAACCACAGGTCCTTGGGAGGGAAGCTCTGTTCAACATAAAAACTCAACCAAACTACACATTTTTTCCAGTGGGTTTGCCAGAAATAGGAAAACCCTGGATTTAGAAGATGTGCTTCTCTTTGCCCTTTATCATCTCTGAGATCATTGGTTCAGTTTCCTCATCTACAGAATGGGATTCCCAGTAGCGGCCACCTTGCAGGGTTGCATGGAGATTATTAGATGAGGTGCTGATGGGGAAACACTTTATCTACAGCAACAGGCTTTAAAGTTATAAATGGCACGTATCAGGGACCTTCGCCCTGAGAGGTCTTTAAATGTAGATGGATTGATTCTTCTTTCACTTAGCCAAATATCCTGGCTGGGTACAGTGGTTCATGCCCGTAATCCCAGCTCTTTAGGAGGCTGAGGTGGGCGGATCACTTGAGTCCAGGAGTTTGAGACCAGCCCAACCAACAGGTCAAAACCCCATTTCTACTAAAAATACAAAAATTAGCCAGGTGTGGTGGCACACTCCTGTAGTCCCAGCTACTTGGGAGGCTGAGGCACGACAATCACTTGAACCTGGGGCGGGTGGAGGTTGCAGTGAGCCAAGATTGCGCCACTGCACTCCAGCCTGGGCAACAAAGTCAGACTCCATCTCAAAACAAAACAAAACAAAACAAAAAAACAACAACAAAAAAAAACCCACAACGAATATCCTAAGAAACACAGCCTTTCTTCTGCCTTCTGCTTAGATTAACAAACAAGAACAATCATTACAGATTAGGGGAAAATCACCTGAGAACAAAAAGTTGCTGTGAGTAATAAACAGCCCAGTCTTTGAAGCTTCCTCTTCATCTACCCTAAGAAGAGCCTCTTAAAATGTGACCATGCAGCCCAGAAGATTCATCCATTCCCTGCTTAGTCTGCAGTTGAGTATAGCTGTGCTCTCCCCACCCCCTGCACCCAAAATTTGAAATGCTGCTGGAATAATCAGTTGTTTAAAAAAGCTATGAAATATAAAACAAAGTAAGACTCACAACCTCCAAGAATGGCCACTTTTTTTTTTTTTTAAAGAAACTTTGCAAGTTTAAACACTAAGATCGATTGTGTTCCCACTGGGTAAAAGGCAGCTCTTTGTCCACCACACTTACTGTATCACTGAAAAATGTACAGACTGCCGGGGCAGCCGCAAGTCACAGATGCAGAGAACTAACGGTGCTCTCCAAGATGTGGCTCTGCTCCTCAACATGCGGTACTGGGCTTGCAGACGGGGCCTCCTCTCCTCCTGACACACAGGCATGGACATACACACAGAGTCGAGGCTCAGAAACTCTGTCCTAGCAACAGGATGTCAAGAGTTCAGTCTTTGCTGTAGCTCTTAACAGCTAGAGGCTGGGTAAGAGGGCAAGAGGCCATGCAGATCCCTGCAAGGGCTCTGAGACATGTTCAATGGCTGTAGGTCCCTGTGATGGCTGTGACCCATGGCTCAATGCCAGAACCTCTACATGTGTGGTTTTGAAGTTTTATTCTACCTCCTTCCAATGCGTCTTGCTCAAGTCTTCTTATCCAGACAGCTTTCTCACCTTCCATTGATTTTTTTTTTAAATAAGCCCCAGCGAACATGTGGTTTCTTTAACTTTCTATCAAACAGGTAGTGCTATAGCCTGAGCTCATCTGAGCACCTTTCAGAAGATGTCAGCATTCCCAAAGAGCTCTCAAAAAGGATTTTCTATTGCGTGCAGTGAGTTCATAAAAGATGTCAAATTACCTGAAAGCAGCTTAGCTACACGAAGTCCACGCATTTGTGGTACAAATGTTGTAGAACTCAATAAATACATTCAAGTTATGCTCACCCTGACCTGACTTGCTCCCAACACACAATTTCAGTTTGGTGACTGGCGTCTTCCTTCAGTTTTATGGGAGGTCTCAGAATCCTCCCAGTTTTATGGGAAGTCTCCCTGGCCTGAGCCACCCCCACCCAGGCTTTGTGGATCTGAAGATGAGCGAATACCAGGGCGGTCTTTCCGTTTCTCTCCTGTGCCCCCTAAGCTGTGCCCCACTCCCTGCTCCTCCACAGCTGAGATGAAGATGAGGATGAGGAGGAGGATGATGATGGTGATGATAATGGCGCACAACCTCAAGGGCTAGGCCTACAAGCATGGCCTCTAAAACTTCACTCCAGTCTATTTTCCTTCCTTTTTTCTTTGGAGTGGTAATTCACAGTGACACGTATCCAGGGACACTAAGTAAGTCCAAGTTGAATTGACATCATAGAGCCTTTTATTGTTATTCCTATTTTTAGAAAGTGTTTCTGCAGCAGAAGAAATTACCTAGCCAGGGGAGATGCCAGCTCACACTCAGCATTAGTCCTTAGATTCCTGGGGAGACACTATTTGGCACTTTGGAGCTAGGTGTCGGTGTGTCAGACTCACCGCACCAATTTTCCCCAACCATAAACACTACCCAAACTACATTTAGAAGTCAAGATTACTGTATTTTATTGCCTGTGCTACAAGCATAAAAAATGGATTTCAATTTTCTCTCTTGAACACCGTACCATGATTTAAAGCAGCGCATAATCCTTGGTACATATTATTTCATATTCTGCTTATAGCAACAATGGTGTAGACTACTTAGGAGTATAAAATACAGATTTAGGATACTTTTTCTATCTAGCATATTATGAAATTCTAAATAAGACAGAGTAACATACTAGGTTTCATGGAGATGATCAGACTATTATCTCACTATCTCATTCACTAAGTCACAGTAATGATAAAGTAGTGAGGAGGAGAGAAAAGAGGAAGAATTTCGGTCCTTTACGAAGGAGAAAACTACATCTGATCTACCCCATGGGGCTTAGTGCCAGTTTCCACGCCTTCAGTGTAGATTGAAGCTATCAGCGTCACTAGGTGCTTTAACCTTAAACCCGTCTGATTCCCAGGCTGTGGGTGTTAAGGAAAAGAAAGCAGTGACGCTACTTCACCAGCCTCAACCAAATTAATGTGTTCTTCAGGAGTCACTTGTAGACATTCTGCAGCAAGCTAACTAAATTCCTAAAACAAAGACCTGGAGCAAGTGCTCATTTTTAGGAATATGGCATACTGATTAACAATCAATCCACACAAATAAGTAAAGTCATGCACCTCATAACAACCTTTGGGTAACGGACTGCATATGGGACTGTGGTCCCAAAATATTATAATACTGTATTTTTATTCTACCTTTTCTATGTTTACATGCACAAATACCATTGTGTTACAATTGCCACAGTATTCAGTACTGTAACATACCACACAGGTTTGTAGTTGAGGAGCAATAGGCTTTACCATCTAGCCTAGTGTGTAGTAGACTCTACCATCTTGGTTTGTGTGAGTACACTTCATGATGGCCACACAATGACAAAATTGCCTGACACATTTCTCAAAATGTAATCCCATCGTTAAGCAATGTATGACTGTACATTCAAACTAATTTGGATTCTACAGATGCTAATTTTAAATTGCTACTGATATACACATACACGTGCTCACATTTACATTTACAACATACCTACTATTCCTGTCTCATTGTCTCCTCGGCATGTGCAGTGCATGCACACAGACTTCATGAATATACTATAAATAGAATAAACTACACCATCCAGGTCCAAGATTTAAAACAGGAGGCCCAGAACTGAGATGGAGTCATTGGGCTGAATTCAGTCCACAAATATATATTTTTGCCTATCTCATTTTTTTTTTAAAAGAGGGGTCTCATTCTGTTGCTCAGGCTGGAGTGCAGTGGCACAATTATAGCTCACTGCAGCCTCGACCTCCTGGGCTCAAGGGATCCTCCTACCTTAGCCTCCCAAGCAGCTGGGACTACAGGTGGACGCCATCATGCCCAGTTAATTTTTAAGAATTTGTTTTGTCAACATGGGGTCTGTGTTGTCCAGGCTGGTCTCAGACTCCTGGGCTCAAGTGATCCTTCTACTTTGGCCCCCCAAAGTGCTGGGATTATAGGCATGAGCCACTGTGCCAGTCCTATAAAGTCTAAAAAAATTGAAATTGTCATTTTAAAAATCCAGATTCTTTTTTTCAGAAGAGCTAACAAACTAGTCCTTCATTTTTGCAAAACAACAGGGGGTTGAAGCTGAACAGTGATGGCCTCTTGATGCAAGGGTGGACTTTTCATTTCGCCCCTGTTCCTAACACTCCCTATTCATCTCCTCACTGTCTGCTTCACTTCTGTGCAATATCTGTCTCTTCCCACATGCATTTGGGGTCATGGTCCCTTCTCTAGGTAAACCCACTTGAAACTTCTCCAAGGGTTATGGATTGAATTCTGTCTTCCTAAAACTTCTAGGTTGAAATCCTAATCCCAGTACCTCAGAATGTCCCCTTATTGAGACAGGGTCTTTACAGGGATAATCATGTTAAAATGAGGTCTTTAGGGTGGGGTAGTGGGCCCTAATCCAGCATAACTGGTGTCCTTATAGAAAGGGGAAATCTGAACACAGAGATACACACAGAGGGAGAGCATCATGCAGAGACGAAGGCAGAGATTGATGTGATGCATCCACAAGCCAAGGAAGACCAAAGATTCCCAGCAAACACGAGAGGCCGGGAGAGACGCCTGGAACAGATGCTCCCTCGCAGCCCTCAGAAGGAACCAACTCTGCTGACACCTGGATCTCAGACTTCCAGCCTCTAAAACTCCGAGACAATGCATTTCTGTTGTGTATGCCACTTGATTTGTGGGACTCTGTTATGGCAGCCCCAGCAAATGAATACACCAAGTAGCTTAAATAAAGTCAGTATCTTCCTTTGATCATTGGGAATAATCATAGGTGAGTGGTCTGCATTATTGGCTATGTCTAGCTTAGGAAAAGGACATCACAAGGAGAAATATTCTTTCCCAAACCAAGTGACCAGGCTTCCAAGAGCTTCTACATAGAGATGCATCCAACTAGAAGTGGGGAGTCTCCCTGCTCCAGCTCAGGTGATGAAAAAATTCTGGTCAACTCTGACTGCCAAAAAAAAAAAAATGCCCATAGTTCATTCCTGAGTAGGAGGGTGATATTTCAAGGGTGAAGGGATATTTTAGGGGAAGGAGTATGTCAGGGAGGTAGACAGCCCCAATCCTCATTTACTCCTGAGCTCACTTTAGATGATAAACTCCTGTGTATATGGTGAGGCACTTTCCATTTTATTTTTCTTTTGCAGGCTTTTTCTTTCATCTGGTCCAAACAACAAAGAGGGTATGGGTGGGGACAGAGGACCTCAGTTGGAGAGGACTGGGCCAGTCGATCCTCTGTTGGGTCTGAAGAGCTAGCCGTTCCCTAGGTGAGGTCCCAAGTAGACTGGCTGTTGTCTGACCACAAATAGGTCATGTTTTGGAGTCTTAGTCCCTTCCTTTAAAAATGAGTAGCCCTATCAACTTACTGAATGACTGACTTTTTATAGGATGTTTCAGAATCAAAAGCACAACTTGTTAGGCATTAGGTTACTCTTTAGTTCCAGAACACCCCATACCTAGTGATCTGAAGCTCCAACTTCTGGGGGTTTCACTTCACCAACCTGTCAGTGTCATAGGCTGGAAAGTGAGGAAGTGCCAGAGCATGCTGTCTCTGGCAGATCACGAGGTCGCCCTGACAGGGCACCCTAACTATGAACTTTGAGAAGCATGGCTCTGTGTCTAATTTTTTAATACTGATTTTTTGGAGTAGTATGTTCAATTATATTTCAAATAAACAAAATGGAGTCATGAGGGAACATTACTCTGGTGGGAATAAAAAGCTTGGCAAATGAACAGAACTAGAAGTAGATCTGATGGCTAAGATCCCATAGTCAGGGCACCTCCTAGTTCAGGATGCAGAATCCCAAGAGGAGATCTAGAGAGAATGCAGAATGGTTTTGCATGGGGCGGGGTAGGTGGGGTGAGGGATTGCCCTGAGGTCTCTGTGTGTCCACTGGAGATGAAAAGTGCTACTCATGTAGCACTGAGAAGTGACACTCAAACCAGTGGATTCTAAGAGAACTTCATCAATACGAATCTAAGCAAATGTCCCCATAGGTACCATTCCTTTATGTATAAGACACAGGTACTACTGCAGTGATACACCATGCGCATTACAATTCAGGCACAAATAACCATATTAAAAAGGATCATATGAAATGAATGTAAATAGAAGCTCTACAATTTTTGCCTGGCACCCCAGTGGATGGCATCATTCACCACCCCTTGGTCCTCTGTGCCATCCTGAAGTTCAAAGTCTGTATACATATGGAGGAGGAGCAACGTGAACCCTGTTGACCAATGTTCATGTCTCTGGGGCAGTCCACACGTCTCCAATGGCAGTGGACTGAAATAGTTATTTATTAAAAAATCCAGATGACTTGCTTATTGAGACTTAGTAGAGTCTGCCCAATAGCCTCAACAAGTGAACATTTTTGGAAGCACAGTAATTTTGGCATTTTTATGTAGAAACTCTGCCTTAATGCTGGGAGGTTCTGCAGAAGTTGACATCATTTTACTTGGTGTTTCTGTTTCCCATTCCTCACCCTCAATTTGGGATTATTCTTAGAATGCTACACATCGTGGTCTTTTTTTTTTTCTTATGTTATTGGAACTGTCAGGCTAAAATTATGTTTTCTATCTTGCTGACTCCATGAGGACCACAGACTTGGCCACATGCTTTTCAAAGAGCCTAAGATTTCCAGTACATTAATAGCCAGAGAATGCTGCAGCCTTGTAGCTTCAGAAATGCCAACTCTACAGCACATGTCTACATTCTTTTAGTTACTTTTTGTGATCATAAAGCACATATTTTGCACACAGTAATCAGATGACCTAGTCTAATGCCCTCAGGGCAAATGACTAGGGAATGAAAGAATCAGAGCCAGAACCCAAACTTCTACTCCAGAGTAGCTCGCTCTCTACCACAGTCACTTTTTGGTTCTTGGATTTCCCCTTCATTCTGCCCTGGCTTCAGGATGAATGGGTGGCTAGAAGCACAGAGTTGAGCTCTCAGTTCTAAAGGGAATAGTCCCTAAAACTCTTTGGGTCTGCATTAATGGCTGTGCTACCTCAAAAATGACCTTGAGGTATAGATATGGCCTATCTGCCTGATGTGCTGATCTCTGTACAACTTTGCCAATTTGCTAGGCATGCCTGACAGTCTGTCCTTTAGGTACAGTCCCTGCAATCTGGCTAGAGCTTCCAAGGGTCTTACCACAAAGAAAGAAACTCCCTAGTTGAAAGAGTGAAGGACAAAGTGGATTCAGAGGAAGGATGCAGGCCATCTCAATGGCTTGAATATGCTGCCTTCTCTACTTTGTCTTTCTGTCCCTAGTTGATGTGTCTTCTCCTGCTGGTAAGGTTTGGTTCTGTGTCCCCACCCAAATCTCACCTTGAATTCTAATCCCCATAATCCCCATGTGTCAAGGGCAGGACCAGGTGGAGGTAACTGAATCATGGGGGCAGTTTCCCTCATGCTGTTCTCATGATAATGAGTAGGTCTCACGAGATCTGATGGTTTTATAAGCATCTGGCATTTCCTCTGCTTGCACTCATTCTCTCTCCAGCCACCCTGTGAAGAGGTGCCTTCTGCCATGATTGTAAGTTTCCTGAGACCTCTCCAGCCATGGGAAACTGTGAGTCAATTAAACCTCTTTTCTTTATAAATTACCCAGTCTCAGGTATTTCTTCATAGCAGCAAACTGAATAATACACCTGCCATCCACCATAATGAAAGAGGGCTGGGAACAATGTATACTATGGTAAACCTTCAGTGGATGTCCTTATAAGGGGAAGAGTTGGGAAAGGGCTGATTTACCAGGATAAGATTTCAGATGCAGATAACTTCTTTCAGGGCATGGACGGTTTATGTCTCTTCCCACCTCTGGGTTTTGTGACTGCCTTTGCTAGCTAATCATGGTGGTGGCTTGTGGATATGTATTCAGGCAGGAGAGGCTGGGATTGTCTCCCTTTTTAGGAGTATGCTCTGGGGCAATGGTGCCCTTTTTTACTGTGTTAGTCTAAACCAGGTGCAAGGACCCCACAGTGAACAAGCAGGTGGCCAGCCTCACAGGCCGACTTCCTATGCTTCCCATCTCTCTCTCACACTTGGCACAGAAGAGGTCACTGGGGCAGCCAGATGCTCTGGCATCTCACTCCCATCTGCAGATAAATCTTCATTTGCCCCTCACATACCTGGGGCTCTCCTTGTACTGTAGCAGAGCTGGAGGAATGGGAAGTGAGGGGAAGGAGCTATAATAAAAGATCTGCTCCTTCTCTTTTTTCTGATTCCCTAGAGGATAATGTGTAAACTTGAACAAGCTGGGTCAGGAGTAGCCCAGAACCACACCCACCCACCCCAACCACCCTCAGAACCGAGATCTCGTTCTATGTAACCTGAGAGAGATTGGGGAAGCCAGGATCATTGTCTTCAAGTATGCTACAGCATGCCATGTTATGGGGGATGAGGGTGCAGAAAACACAGAATAAGACCAATGGGTGGGAGTGGCATGGACAGATTTCAGTTCAATATTGGAAGAATGTCTAAGAATAAGGCTCTCCAACAATGGGACAGGCTCTCTAGAGAGCTGTAACTATCACTGAGGTATTAAAAGAGAAGGCCATGTTACTTCAGTCAATGACAGAAAGTATGTATGTGTGTGTGGCAGGTGGTTAGATGTTTTCATTCTATGACTCTAAAGACTGCATAACACTACGTCCAATCATCCATCAGTGTTGACCATTTTACAAAGCCCTGTACCATTACAATATCCTCCAAGAGGAAACCAAGTTAATTTTGAAAAAGAAGCTGCTCTTAGGTAGCAAAATAAATCAGGTGGGAGGGAAGAATACTGGCATACTGTTGGATGATGCCTATGTCTACATAACCTCTAGGCACCACCTTTCTCACTTGTACAATGCAAAGGTGATGGTGAAAACAGGTAACTGATTGCTTGCTATGGGCCAGATACTGTTTTAAATACTTCTATTAACTTGCTTAATTTTCACAACTCACTCTTTTACATATGCAGAAACACAGGTAAGGAGAATAAGTGACTTACTTAAGGCTATACACCTAGTAAGAGGGAGAATCAGAATTAAGCCCTGGTAGACTTCCACACATTATGTCCAGGCACTCACAACAGTGTCTGGTACAAAGTAAGGGCTCAAGAGAGAGAATTCCAGAGCTGTGCTGTGTGACATTATGCAAAGTAACCAAAGTTCTCTATGCCTGGTATTCTCATCTGTAAAATGGGTATACAAATGGTGTATCTTATAGACAGGCTCAAAGACAAACAATGTAATACATATAAAATGTTTAGAGAATGGTGGCAAATAGTAAGTACTCAACAAAGGTTACCTAATGTCACATAAACATGCCCTTGATTACAAATACATACATGGGTGGTTAATATCTTAATATAACATAAAGCTATGCCCATGTCTGTAATATCCATACATAAAGGGCAATCACTCAAAATGAGTCCCAGTGGAGTAATGAAGCATCACTACCAACCACTTAACCGTATATCAGAGAGTGTGTTTGTCTGATTGCTTTGTGCTTAATCAAACCACACCTTATCTCTCCATAGGTCCTCAATTCTATTACATGATGGAGGCTGTTCTTCCTTCCTTCCTTCTTTCCTTCCTTCCTTCCTTCCTTCTTTCCTTCCTCCCTCCCTCCTTCTCTTTCGCTCTCTCTTTCTCTTTCCTTCTTTCTCTTTCCTTCTTTCTTTCTCTTTCCTTCTTTCTTTCTCTCTTTCCTTCTTTCTTTCCCCTTCCTTCCTTCCTTCTTTCCTTCCTCCCTCCCTCCTTCTCTTTCGCTCTCTCTTTCTCTTTCCTTCTTTCTCTTTCCTTCTTTCTTTCTCTTTCCTTCTTTCTTTCTCTCTTTCCTTCTTTCTTTTCCCTTCCTTCCTTCCTTCTTTCCTTCCTCCCTCCCTCCCTCCTCCTCTTTCGCTCTTTCTCTTTCCTTCTTTCTTTCTCTTTCCTTCTTTCTTTCTCTCTTTCCTTCTTTCTTTTCCCTTCCTTCCTTCTTCCTTCCTTCCTTCCTTCCTTCCTTCCTTCCTTCCTTCCTTTCTCTCTCTCTCTCTTTCTTTCTTTCCTTCTCTCTCTCTCTCTCTCTGTCACCTGGGCTGGAGTGCAGTGGCACAATAATGGCTCACTGCAGCCTTGACCTCCTGTGCTCAAGCCATCCTCTTGCCTTAACCTCCCATGTAGCCGGGACCACAGGCATGTGCCACCACATCTCGCTAATTTTTGATTTTATGTAGAGATGGGGTTTTACTTTGTTGCTCAGGCTGGCCTCAAACTCCTGGGCTCAAACAGTCTGCCCACTTTGGCCACCCAATGTATTAGGACTACCGGTGTGAGCCACCGTGCCTGGCCAGATGATGGAGGCTTTTCTACAGATGATTATTCTCCCTGGAAACCTGCCTCTCAATTTCTCCCTGAACCTTGAATCAAGTGAATTTTCCAAGATTTGGATAAATAAAGGAGAGGGCACTATAGAAACAACCTTGGAGACAAAATGGGATGTTTTCCATTGTCTCTTCCTTTTTTTTTTTTTTTTTTTTTGAGACAGAGTCTTGCTCTGTCACACAGGCTGGGGTGCAATGGTGTGATCTCGGCTCACTGGAACCTACACCTCCCAGATTCAAGCAATCCTCCTGCCTCAGCCTCCCGAGTAGCTGGGACTACAGGCCACCATGCCTGACTAATTTTTGCATTTTTAGTAGAGATGGGGTTTCACCATGTTGGCCAGGCTGGTCTTGAACTCCTGACCTCATGTGATCCACCTGCCTCGGCCTCCCAAAGTGCTGGGATTACAGGCATAAGCTACTGCGCCCGGCCGAGACTGAATTCTTTTGCTAGAACCTGGAGAGCTAAAGGCCCACTGCCAGGGAGGCAGAGGGTGCCGCTGTCCTACCTGGTGAGCTTGGTGCCAATCTGTTGCCTCAGCTCCAGCCGCTCCTCATCCGTCTGCCTGGGAAGGATGTTCTTTTCTTCCAGCTCTCGCTTGGAGGGCCTGTTGCTGAGTTTGATGGCTAAGGAGTCCTTCCTGCAGACCTTCATGGCCAGGGAGCCTGTAGGAGACAGAAATGAGTCAATTAAGGCTTACATATCTGCCTGGGCTCCCACAGGGCCAACCCTGGGTCATAAGATACAAGGCAGGAAGGAAGTCATCAAGGTTTTAACACCTGAAAGTGGTTAATGCCTCAGTTCCTAGAGTTCCTGCCATTGCCACACACTCTACCCCTAGCACTGTGTGGGGCACATGGACAGCACATGGGGAACCTGTGATTGGGTCTCTGCTCTCCAGGAATGTCTAGCACGCAGGCAACATCACAAAGGAGGGCAGGACTGGCTGTGGGGTGCAGTGGACTGCAAAGGGGGAGATAGGACAGAGGCTTTTAGCAACTAGGGGAAGTTTCACGAGGAGGAGGGGCTGACACCTGAAGCAGAGATGAGAGTCCAACAGGCAGCAGGTGGGCGGGGATCTGTGTCTGCAGAAGTTCAGCGGTGAAGGCTACACCAGGAAATCTCAAGAGACAGAAAAGATCAACTACACTGGAGCTGGGGGGACGTGAAGGAGAAAAAAGGTAGGCGGACAAAGTGGGGCTGGTTGGGGGTGGGAGTGGAGGTGAGGGCTTTGAAACACGCAATATCCTGGGATGGGTTTTTTCTTTTCAACCCCAGCATTTCTGAGCAGCTGAGGCAGGGCTTCCCTACATCTGATATAAATCAGTGGTTCTCAACCAGTGGTGATTTTGCTCCCCAGGGAACACCTGGCAAAATCCCAAGGCATTTTTTGGTTGTCAAAACTAAGGTGGCAGGCAGAGGGTGCTACTGGCATCTAGCGGACAGAGGCCAGGGATGCCTGTAAACATCCCACAGTGTACAGGACGGCCCCACACCAAAGAATTATCTGGTCCCAAATGCCGGGAGTGCTGAGGTTGAGAAACCTCTGTATAAAACATTTAATTCTCTGGATACTGAACAGCAAACAGGGGCTGAGCAGCTGCTCCTTCCATTCATGGATCATTGAGGTCTCTGGCTGCCCTGTGTGGTTCTTTCCTTGACATCACTTGGATCCCTTCATAGCTCACCAGGTCTTACTTGGAGCCAGCTATTTGAAGCCTGGTAAGTAGAGAGCGAGAGAAAACGCCAGCAGGCAACAAGTCTGAGGATGGCTTTGGGCTTGATTGAGTAGTGCTTTTCTTCTTTCTTCCTCCACTAGTTTTAGAACATGAGCTTCAGAATGTGACAGAGCCCGCATCAAACCCCAGCGTTGCCCCTTAGCAGACGTGAGGCCCTGGGCCAGCGCCTTGTCTCTCCATTTTCTGCCCTTATCTGTAAAATGAGGCAATAGTGTCCATGCCTCAGGGTTGTTGTGAGATGTAGGTGAGAGATTAAAACCGTAGCCCATTGTCAGGCACACAGTACATGTTCAATGCATGGTTGCTATTCTCATAAGTTCATTTATTAAAAAGTTGGCCAAATATCAGGCTGTACTCACGTAACTAAAATTTATTTACTGTTCATGGCCAGAGTGATAGGTTTTGAACTTTGCTTTCTTCATTTCTTCTCTTGTCTCTTAGCACATTTAAAGGTCATAAATAAGAAATTTAAATTGAGGCCTTCTAAAGTTGCTGAGGTATGCTTAAAAAGTGAATTTGTTGCATACACAGTGAGTAGTATTTGAGTGTTTGCTAGACAGGGACAGAGTTTTAAACTTCTTAAAGTTTTTTTTGGGTGGGGGAGAAGTTGCATCCTAAGAGAAGCAACAAAGAAGCCACTTAAAGAGGTAGGAGGTGGCAGTAATTTTTAGAGCTAGGAGGGAATTTAAGGAGGGCATTTAGAGGACATTTACCCTCTCCTCTTACTGATGTAGGAACTGAGGCCCCAACAGGTAGACTAAGCTGCCCTACGACCCAGGACCAGTCAACACCAGAGCAGGGATTAGAACCCAGACTGCTGGGCTGCTGGGTCCACTCTCTGCTGTCTTTCCACAATAGCATGCTTCCCCACCCCTGGTGATGAGTTAAGATGAACGCACTGGTGTATAATGAGCTGTCGTCGTCTTCGTCCTCCTCCTCTTCCTCCTCTTCTCTTGTATACAGGCAAGAAGAGTCTTCGTAGTCTGACTCATGAGGCACATTTTCTTTATTGTCATCACATTCAATCACAACAGTTGGCACTTGTCTTATTTCTGGAAGGCCCATAGGTCCTGCTTTGGTGACCCCATCACCCGAGTGCAACCCAGAGCTGTGGTAAGAAGTGGAACAGGGGACCCGCTGCTCAGAGCTGTTTAAAGACAAGGAGGAAAGAGGAAATTCACTTTGGCTAACGTGCTATATAAATGCATCAAAACCATTTTAAAACTCAGTTGCCCAGTCCTAAGAGACAAAGGGTCTACTGGGCAAGTAAAGTTCCATTGCTCATCTTACAGGGAATCACTTTAAGACGGCACGGTGTCCTGATGGGAATAGTGGCTAAGATGGCACGGTTTCCTGATGGGAATAGTGGTTAAGATGGCATGGTTTCCTGATGGGAATAGTGGCGTGGGATAGGAAATAATAAATCCGGCTCCTCGTGGGTGGTGTGATGGTTGCACAATGATGTGAACGTACTTAATGCCATTGAACTGTATGCTTTAGAATGGTTAAGATGGCAAATTTTATGTTATCTGTATTTACCATAATTAAAAAAAATTAAAAGCAAGGGTAAAGGATTAATTTGATAGTGAAGCTACAGATTCAGGAGAGAAAGATAATAATTGAGGTTCTAGTTTTCTAAAGCTACACAGGGCGACTAATAGGGACTGAGTGTGTGAAAGACTGAAATGCTGTGGCTGGAGATGCTGAGAAAGGGAAGAGCGGGATGGACACAAGGCTGGAGACCCATGCATGACATTGTTAGCGATGACCTAGAGAAAGTTCTCTCCCACAGGGAGCCACAGGTAATGCCAGTCTGGATATTTTGCAGGTCAGTTTTCTAAGAGGCATCGAGGATGATGTTTTTGGTTCTACCTCTTAAGTTGAACCAACTTGGATCAAATATCTTTGTTAACTAAAAAAGCTATACTGCTGGGCGTGGTGGCTCATGCCTGTAATCTCAGCACTTTGGGAGGCCGAGGCAGGTGGATCACGGGGTCAAGAGATCGAGACCATCCTGGCCAACATGGTGAAACCTTCTCTCTACTAAAAATACAAAAATTAGCTGGGTGTGGTGGCACGCACCTGTAGTCTCAGCTACTTGGGAGGGTGAGGCAGGAGAATCGCTTGAGCCTGGGAGGCAGAGGTTGCAGTGAGCCAAGATCGTGTCACTGCACTCCAGCCTGGCAACAGAGCGAGACTCCATCTCAAAAAAAAAAAAAAAAATCTATACAAGTTTGTTGTTCGAAAGTTACTACATGCGTGTCATCAAAAATAAAATAATTATTTTCTTAATCCTCTAGCTGAGGATTATGTAGTAACTTAGAACCCTTTTTTATGACAGGCTTTGCATGAAATCTAGTAAGAATCATAGAATATGAAGCCAGAAACCATAGTTAAATTTTATAATTCTTTTTCAGATTAACTGGAAGTGGAATTTATATCTTTCATTTAAGGAATTTCTAAATACAGGAAACTCAATGCATTTTACCATCCAAAAGTGTTTGACATGCCTAAGGAAATGGAGCATGAGGTTATATTATATATCAGTAAGTCCTACATTTGAATATTTTATCCAAAAGAAATCTGACTTATGACATATGAATGCATGCCTCTCCTTTGAAACTTTCAATTACGCTTTAAATTATTGCTATGCCTAATGTAAATTCAATTAACTTCCTTCCTTCCATTGTTTGCAAAGAGCTGTTTTTCTCTTTGTATTTTTCACAGAACTCTTCAGTGACACAAATGGAAAAATCTAGTTAACACATTATGAGCTATGATGTTCAAGGCAATGAACTAAATCAACTTAAAAAAAAGCCAACTACTGAATAGGATTAAATCACGTATTTACAAAATGCAGCATCTTATTAGTGGTTTATCACATTAGTGGTTTACGTTGGTCCATTTCCCACCTAATTGAATACAAATGACAATGGGAGCAGGAGGGTGAAGTACACGATAGATGGCCTCCAGGGTGGCGAAGGGTGATGAAAGTGGGGCTGGGGACTTGGTGCCCACCCTGCAAAGCAGCCCTTTTATCAGTGACAGCCACTCCATTCCAACTGCGCTTGGATTTCCACATTGGGTATTATAGGAAGTAAGGATGGAAGAGGCCAAAAAATGTAATTCCATGGCTCATGTTTTGCCTGAATCCTGTCTTTTCCTCTCTCCACTTTTTGGTTAATTAGCAATGGTTCCTATAAAGGCACAGAGCTGGGGATAACGGCAGCCGGGAGCTGGGGATGAAAGCAGTCAATAGATTCTTGTTTGGTGGGAAGAATCTTTTAAGGAAAAAAGTTGGAAACTAGAGAGTATGAGTTCCTTAAGGTAGAAGGCTCCAAGTTGATTCAAGAAGATAAAGAAGAGAGAAAAATGCAAAGGAAGATAAGAAACTCCACCACATAGGTAGTGTGTAATCAACAAGAGGCTGTGGTTTCCTCTCTTTCAAAGATACATGGGCAGCGAGAGACCTTCTTGCATAGGATGGGATTAAATGGAGGACAGCTGGCTACTTTGAAAGGTACCAGGTACCATGCTACTGGGTTTGTCAAATAGGGATTGGTCAGGTGGCCAATGACT
Source organism: Homo sapiens (assembly GCF_000001405.40). Taxonomy (NCBI): domain Eukaryota; kingdom Metazoa; phylum Chordata; class Mammalia; order Primates; family Hominidae; genus Homo; species Homo sapiens. The sequence continues at coordinate 13,225,383 of NC_000006.12, read as the reverse complement.
GCCTGTTGGGGCACTAGAGAAACAGCTAAAGACTTCTGGGGCCAATCAGGTCATCTTCTTGATGTGTGAACCCTAGCATGTGCTTGAATGCCTAATTTTCCTTAAGACTGAAGGAGGTAGTTTTCCATGAAGCTAGGTGAATCCACCAAAAGAATTGTAAAACATTCTATTAATAAATATCCACTGAATGCCAACTATGCATCAGGAAGAGTCCTGAGAAGAAGACAAATGCCCCGATAAATCCACCCCTTTTGTAACTATGGAGAACCACAGGAGAGCAAGAAAAGAAAGGAGAGTATAGAAGTTAGCTGAAAAGGAGGCTGGGAAGGTTAATATGTGGCCTCAGTTTGGGGAGTCCAGACAGATCTGAGTCCACGTTTTGCCACTTACTCTCTTCTTGACATTGGCCAAATTGTAGGGCTGGTGCATGTGAAGTCGCCTGTTGACACGGCCTCAGATGAGACCCTCACTGGTTATTGACAGACATGGCCTTCCAAGTGGTTTCACAGCAGGCTCAGTTTCAGTCCAGTCTCCAGAGCTGTCGGAGCGGCTTTCTAAAACTCGGATCTAAGAGCCTCACCCATGAGAACTTTGAATGCCTCTCAAGTCTACAAAACTACTGCTCTAGGAGTGATGCAAATGAAAATTCAGTTAACGCATCATGAACTGTACTATTTGAGGCAAAGAACCAAATCAACTCAAATGCAGCATCTTATGACACGTGGCCTGTGCCCTGCTGCTGACAGACACCCAGCAGAACATCAGTCACTGTAGCACGAGTTTTTTTTATAACATAGTTATTACCTACATCTGCTCTAAATACAGGCTCTCATTCCGAAAGGAAGGTGAAAACCATTAGCCTGCAAACAGTAGCTTAAACATAATGTCACGTGCCTGCCACACCCTACATAATTTGGCCCAAATTATTAACCCAGACTCATTCCCACTTCTTTACTTCTGTCTCCAAACAACTGACCCCTTGATCACCTGCAACTATGCATTCAATGCTCTTGGCCTGGAATGTGTTCCCAAACCATCTTCACCTCATTCATTCCTATTTCTCTCTCAATACTTGTCTCAGTCAGTGCCTTGCCTGTGTTTATGGGAGAGAGTCCTCAAGGGTGAAAACCATGATCATCTGTTTGCTTACTATCTTCTCTTCACCACCCAAGGCTGTAGGCTCCTTGTCGGGCAGAAGCCACATCTTCTGTTTGTATCTGGTTCCTATTACTATGCTTAGTGCCTAGTATCGTGCCTGACACAAAGTAGATGCTCAGTAATTGTCTATTGCTTTAGCCGAATGAAATAAATATGGGCTGGAATGACTGACATTTAGATATATTTGTAAGCAGTCAGCAAAACATGTTCAAAAGGCATTAACTAAGGGGTTTTTTTTAATTTTCAGGGAGGCATCTAGTGGTGTGCTGCAGGGATGTGGTGCTCTGGACTTGGTTAGCATCTTTATCAATGGCAATGACAAAAAGGGCATCCTCAATGAATAACTGAAAGAGTTGAAGGAGAGAAGGAAAGAAGGGAGAGTGAATAGAGAGAACATTTACTAAATGTGTAATTTTCACACACAGTGTTGCATTTCACCTTTCCAGCAACCGTATGGGACAGGTGCTGTTCTCCCCATTTTATGAAGCAGGAAATTGAAGCTCTGAAAGGGTAATGAATAGGCCCACAAGGACACAGTTGGTAAAGGAAGGGCTTGAAATTTGAACCTACTGTATTACAAATTCTGCATGCAAAAGTTGAACTGTGATACTTATGAGATGTGTCCTTTGATAAAACACACACCTGACTAAATGTACCCAGGCAAGATGGAGGAAATATCATACCTTGTCAACAACGTGTGTAAAAAATGGGCATCATTATTTATAACTATTTTAAGTCCTACTAACTAGGGTAGGTAATAGTATTCTACCCTGCCATGACCAGGCCACTCCTGGGGCACTGAGTTTAATACTCAGGGCGTTCAGGAGACCCATCTATTCACCGATTCACCTTGGCTGCTTTTGCACCAAAATAGAAGAGTGGAGTAGTTGCAATAGAGCTGAAAATATTTACTATCTATCTGGTTCCTTAAAGAAAAAATTTTCTGTGCCCTGATCTGAACCAGTGTTTTCTAAACCTTGATTATACTCCCACCTCCTTAATCTTTTTTGTGTATGGCATCTTTGAAGTCCATTTACACTATTATTTACTTTGTAATTTTTTAAGTCAGTACGGTATTTTTTAAAAATTTAAACACTATTGTAACCTCATCCTAAGCAAATGATATCTTTGTAATAACAGGTTTTGTATGTAAATCATATAGGTTTATAACATGTTAAGATATATTTTTATATTTGTAATACATATATTTTCAATATTGATATATGCATAAGTACATACAATATTCAATAAAATATTAAAACTAATAAAAGGTTGTCCTAAACTCATTTTCTGTACCACCAATGATGCAGATATCACAGTTTGGTTAAATGTTGCTCTAGACCAGGCTTTTTCGACACAGGCATGACTGACATTTTGGGCCAGATAATTCATTGCTTTGAGGGTTGTCCTGTGCATTGTAGTACACTTAGCAGTACCCCTGGCCTCTGCCCACCAGATGCCAGCAGCACTTCCTCCAACTGTGACAGCCAAAACAATCTTCAGACATTGCCAAATGTCCTCTGGGGGACAGGGGGACAAAAATCATCCCAGATTAGGAGCCACTGGCCTAGAGCATCCACAGTGGCTTTGCTGCTTGCTGCATTCTCAGCACTGTACCATGTGAGTCTCTTCAAAAGCCACTTAGGTATTAATTATCAGGAATCTGCAGCATTCGCTGAATGATGAAGAACTGTCCAGATCCTCTCATGTGAGTTCCTGACTTATCAGGTGTGAGGCTGGCATTCTGGGGGCTGCAACAAGATGCTGATGCTCGTGGGGTTCTACTTACTCAGTTACTTGCACTCCTGCCTTCAGTTCCTGAGCTGTTAGTTACCCCATGAATGCAAGAGCTCCAGGCTGACGCTTGAGTGAAACAGGTTTTCTCATTCTTTGCCCAGATCAGTGATTTACTGAATGACACTCAGTGGTCTGAGAGAGTCACATCTTCCAGAGTACCTATCAACAGGAACTGCTGACTCGTGTAATAAAATCTATTCTAGATCACTCACATCAACATTCTTTGGCATTAAGCATTTAGTTGGCTTCAAATTCAAATGGACTTCATTGCACATGGGTTGTGTTCACCCTCCCTCTTCCTAAGGGCTAACTAGCTTCTAAAACCGCAGGTAAACATGAGGAATCTCATCCTAACCTCCGAGATGGAGTCTTTGTTCATTCTTTTTTTTTTTTTGAGATGGAGTCTCACTCTGTCACCCAGGCTGGAGTGCAGTGGCGTGATCTCGGCTCACTGCAACCTCCGCCTCCTGGATTCAAGCAATTCTCTGCCTCAGCCTCCCAGGTGGCTGGGATTACAGGTGCCCACCACCACACCTGGCTAATTATTATATTTTTAGTAGAGGCAGGGTTTCACCATCTTGGCCAGGCTGGTCTTGAATTCCCAACCTTGTGATCCACCTGCCTTGGCCTCCCAAAGTGCTGGGATTAGAGGCGTGAGCCACCGTGCCCGGCCACCTTTGTTCATTCTAACTGGATTATTACAGATGATGATGGAAGTTAACATTTCTAAATGCTCACACTGTCCCACGTGTTGATTCACTTAAGCCTCACAAGGATCCTAAGAGATAGGTACTATTGTGATCTTCCCGTTTTAGATGGGAAAATGCAAAGGCACGTGGCCAAGGTCACACAACCAGAGGGGTGCAGACACTGAATTCAGGCCATCAGACTACAGGACCTGATCTACTGATGTCACTATACCACTGCCTATGTAGAAGTAGTGGTCCCCCAATGGTTGCAAACTTTAATCTTCTTCCAGACCCTCCCCCTCCCCACCCACCCAGTCCACCCTCTATTCTGCTGTCAAACTGGTCTGATCATGTAATTCTCCTAATCAAAAGAGCCAGGAAAGGCCTCATTGTAAACTGGATCAACTCCACCCTCTACAGCATGGATTAAGAGGTGCCTCACGATCTGACCCTCCAACTCCTTTCAATCTCATTTGTTATTATTCCTTACCATCTTCCTAGGGTTCCAGCCATATCAGACCACTTGCCATTGCCCAAGTACCCTGTGGACTTCCCTGCCTCCTCCCTCTGCTCCTGCAGTTGCTCCGCCCCAGAACTCACCCTTCAGATTTTGGCCTAGAGAGAGCATCCTGCCTATCTTTCAGGGATGACTCAAATCTCATTTCATTTGAGCATCCTTTTCTGATTTTTCCAATGGAAATCAGTCCCTTCTCTGCACATCCATAGCCTCTGTTCCCAGCTTTGTTATAGCATCTGCCACATTATGTTATAATTACAGGCTAAGCATTTACCCCCCACGCCAATTAACTGTGAGCCTCTCCAAGACAGAGGCTGATGATCTTCCTGCCTCTACCTCTACATTGCACATGTGTTTGGAACTGATGGATAAGTTGATCAAATATTTGAATTGAAGTCACACACAATCAGAATACACCACATTACATTTTCAATTACTTAATTTGCTAAAATTAGGATCCCTGACCCTTAGATAGAGTCTTGCTGTTGTAGGGAAATTATCTTTGTGAAAGGAGCATTAGGATTTTTGGAAATAGTGCTCTAGAGGTCTTTTTCCTAAGAAGACAACTCAAGGAGCTAAGGCACAGAGATCTATGCAAGCAAGAGCACATTGGTACCGTGTGGCCTTCATTCCAGGACTGTGTCTGCACAGAAGAGGTAACAGAGAGAGCTTATGATATTCCAGTTTCCAATTCTATACTCACAGGCCGTCAGCCCACTTTAATTCAGACTGTCCAAAGTTAGGCTGCTTTGTAAGGTGACGTCATTAAGCTTGATGAGATCTATATGGTTTCCTCTTATACTAACATTCTATAATGAATTTAAACAAAGACCAAAGGCCTTAAATTATTTTCCAAGGGAAAAACAGATGAATTTCTGCTCCCTATCACCTAGGTAGCACCAAATAATGTCATTTTCTTGACAAATGTAATAGGGATGAACATGCAGAAACTGAACAGCATTCCATGATATTCACAAGATGTTGGACAGATAGATGCACCATTTCGGAATATTTCCACACAATGTCTTAAAGATACCAGCGGGTTCCACAGCTCAGGATGAAGGAGCAGGAGCATCTTTCAAAACCACCACATGGCTACCGCAGATGGTCCTTTAGTGCCCTATGAAAGCGTGTTGTAAATGTTCATCATCTCATTTAATCACCACAAAAACTTGCAGAGTTAAGAAGGGTATTGTTATTATCTTGATTGTTTATGAATGGGGACATGAGGTTTCTGAGAACACAGTGATCACTCGGCAGTGATCACAGCAGGATGTGAACTCAGGTCTTCCCACCCAGGGCCTGTGTTCTTTCCATGAACCATGTTGCTTTCTCCTGGAGAATCAGCAAAGCCCATCATTTTTTCTGTAGATGTATATGCTGACTATGAAATGCAATTTATACCGCAAATTTTAAAAACCGTGGACTATAATATTTTTATAACAAAAAGCAAGGATAACAGATGTTCACACAATCCAGCTACTCTCTTGCTATGAATTTTGCTGTGAAGAGTCCCATGATGAGCGCTATTATGGAACACACAGGGAGGGGGTTTGAATTCTAGACTTGGGGATACAAGTTTTGTGTGAGTAGCACATGGCTGGGGGTGAGTAGGTGTGCGGAGAGAATAGGCGACAAGAGGAAGGACAGAATAATTACCAGGCTGGATAATCCAGCCTTGCACAACGGAGCGCTGCTGATAAAAAGGGGTCGTGCAGTGGGTTTTGTATCTGTTGTGGCCACTTTAATAACACGTCTCCTTGAGGATAGAGAGGCATCACCACCACGCTCCTCCCATGACCCTGCATGATGGTTCTTCAGTGCCCCGTCCCTGCCCGACATCACATTACACATTCACAGGCTTATTACCTGTCGCTCCCACTAACGAGTAAGCTCACAAGGATGAGGACTTTGTTTCATCCTCATTTTCCCCTAGAGGATGGAACAGCTTAAATGAACAGAAAATAATGAACAGAAGTATCCCTAAAACAGAAGCCTTGCTATTTACACAAGAAACACTGAAAAGAGACATATTTGGAAAGCTTGAGAGGAAAATGGCAGTCCCGAGTCAATAAAAGGCACACATTTAAAACTGCCTTCCTCTCATCACATCTACAGGATGCCTTAGGGAGGTGAAAAGCTGTACTCTATTCCCTTGGTCTTGTTCCCACCAAGAATGACCTTTACCAAGCCTTCTTTTTGGAAAACTCGACTCTTCTCTTTAACTCTGTTAAACTAAGTAGGAGATGCATAGGTTGAGAGCCCGGGTAGATAACCATTTCTGCCTCCTTTCCCTTTTTCTACCTTTTCTCTTCTCTTCTCTTCTCTTCTCTTCTCTTCTCTTCTCTTCTCTTCTCTTCTCTTCTCTTTCCTCCTCCTCCTCCTCCTCTTTTTCTCCTCCTCCTCCTCCTTCTTCTTCTTCTCCTCCTCCTTCTTCTTCTTCTTCTTTTTAAATAGCTCATTGCAACCTTGGACCTTTGGGCTCAAGCAATCCTCCCACCTCAGCCTCCTGAGTAGCTTGTACTAACAGGTGTCACCATACCTGGCTAATTTTTTGATTTTTTTTGTAGAGATGGGGTCTCGCTATGTTGGCCAGACTGGTCTCAAACTCCTGGGCTCCCAAAGTTGTTAGGATTACAGGAGTGAGCCACCGTGCCTGGCCTTTTCCCACCATTTCAATGGCCGAATATTTTTAAGGGATCTCTAGACTTCAAAAATGAAGACACTGACTTATCTTTCATGTTCATTACTGGATAAGGGTAAGGCCCAGACTTTACTTTCAGTCTTTCATACAGGAATGAATGCCAAGACATCTACAGTGAGTCTGGGTCATTATAAGAGGCACTCCCTTTTCAAGGGGGCTTTGTAATCATCACTTTATCTCCATTCCACGGTACAGGCTGATGAGTAGGAAATCACTGTGACCCATCCATGGGAGGGGAATTACTGGCCGGCAAACACCTTTGAAACTCTTGTAGGGAATCAAGGGCAGGTCATAAAATTGAAAATCACTGTCTCTTTTAAATCCTTAATCTTTCTCTAAAATAGGTGGGATCCATTTCACCATCATTTCTAAAGAAAAACATGTAATAAAGGGAATATTGCTTTCTGATATCTGATTTTAAATGCATCCACTGTTAAAAAAAAGAAAGACATTAATCTCCTCAAAGGACAGAGAAAATTTATTATCTACAAATATGACACTGAAAGCCAAATTAAACTTCAACAGGAACAGCTTTTGTAATTTAGTCTGCACAAGTTATGAAGAGAGTTTTCAGAGGGGAGAGAGAATAATCAGCCACTTTCCTCTTGGAGACCAAAAATGTGTGAGAAATTATGCTGCAAATTGCAGTGCCTGAGGCTGAAAAATAGCAGAAATAACCAATGTAGCCTAAGAAAATAGTTAATCAGCTTCTTTTTAAGAAAGCAGGCATACATTGTGTGGTTTATCATGGCCTAGGATTAGCCTTCTAAGATAAGACATGTAACATTAAAGCTTTTGTTTTTTGTTGAACTTTAGTCAGCAGGAAACTATGCTGTTCTATATATAGACGAGGGTACTGAGCCTTCCTGAATAGAAAATGTATTTTGAGTTTTTTTTTTCAGCAGTGGTAATGGATTTAAATTAATTTGTTCACAGCCTCTGTCCTTTCAGGGACCAATGACCCACATTTCTGAAATATTATCTGGGATTGGGATGTGATGAACAAAACCATAAGACACACAGAGTCTGACCAAGAGCCCATCCCTCCCAGCACTCTCTATTTCTGATGGAGAAACCAGTGGTGGCTTTTCTACTTGACTTTGTCCCTAGACGCTGGTGAGTGTTCTAGCATGCTTGGCTGAGCATGGGTACTAAAAAGGCAGGACAGAGAGTCAGCAGAATGGTGCGAGTCCCAGCTGGGCCATTGCTAACCTTGTCTCTTGGTGTTTGGCTCTTCATCAGTTAAATGGAGAAACCTAGGTGCCCACCTCCCAGGCAGCTGCGAAATTAGAAGACAATGCTGGTGCAGTGTGCTTCCTGGACAACAATGCTGAGAGTTGCCGTTTTAACTAGGAGTACATGTCAACACCAACAATTTATCATAAATTAGTCATTATAGATATTACCCACTAATTTATTAAAATATTTCCTTTAGTGTTTTAATATTTTTGATCTGCAAAACTTTCTGGACGATGGTTTCCAAGAAGATCAAAGAGTCAATATTTGTGCATTGGAAAAGGGCAGTATTTCTATTGAAGCAAAAAAAATCAAAAGCAGATTCCCTTTCTTTTGAAAATACACTTCCTTTTTTTAATCCTCTTAAGTCTTAAAAAGGTGTTAATGGTTTGTACAGTTTCATTTTAACTTCCTTAAAGTTAAGCAACTTAGGAAATTGCTTAGACAATTTCCTTGCCAACCTTATAGGGAAAGATGGGTCTTGCTCATAATGACATTACTTTGCACTAAAACCACATCATGTACCTTGGAATAGCAGTTAAATCTGAAAAACAACATGTACGTGTAGGCAATTAAAGATGATAAATATAGGCTTTAAAATCAAAGAACTGACCTAAAGTAAGAGATTGACAGTGCTGGCTTCCAAGGGGCAAGGACAAATGTCTAGCTGGAATTGTGTGAGATTTTGAAGAGATGATCATCACCATAAGAAGAGAATCTTTCCCTGGAAACATATTTCATTTAACAATGTAGGCCATTTGTTATGTCATGAAGAAACACGGAACTACAAAGCAACACCACTTCACAAGCAAACAACACCTAGGTGTTCAGAGTTTCATTCTTGCTGAGGCACTGATTCATATCTGTGTATTGTCAGGGAACACCCTAATTAGCAGGTGAAACATTACAGACATAAGCCAATACAATAATTATTTAGACTGTTAAGGCTAAAAGAAACCCTAGGGATCATCTAGTTTAGGAGGAAGAATTATTCTTTAGAATTTCCTGTGACCCTTGAGGCAACATGAAGAAAAGTAATTGTAACCATGAAATGTATTTACCCAAGGATTATAAATTGTATTGTGCTCTTTGAAAGGCCTAAAAATAATCATGGGATAATAGAATTCTAGAGCTTGGAGGGATTTGAGGGTCTACTGATTTCAATTTCTTCTGTCCAATGTAAAAATGATTCCTTTTTCAATATTCTTGACAAATTCATCTCTAGCTAATATGTAAATGTAAAAAGGGGACATTATAAGAAATAATAAACTATTCGTATAAACTTATCAGTTATAATTTTAAAGGAAAGATTGCTTTGTTACTCTGTGCCTATCACAATGCTTGGCATGCAGTGATCAATGGGTGTTGCTAAGAGTTCAAGACGACTCTGGAACTTTCCTGCATCTAGTTGATCATCCAGATTGGACTGGCTTATCCATGTTAACACAGATGTACATTGACTATGCCAGCAGAGGTAAAGCCATTCTACTTCTCCAAAATTTCACATTACAGTTAACCTACTTCAATATATCTAATCTGCAGTTAGAGTTGGATATGTCCTTAGCAGCTGATCCGACCTGTATGGTTTTTCTTTACATAAGTACATGAGTAAACCATTTGGGACTCCTATTAGCCTGATTTTTCTTAAAAAATATTCAGTGTCCTCTCTGTTGGCTCTTGGGTTCTTCCTTATATCTGATTACAATGTTACGTCATCAATCTCATTCTCTATGCTATGTCTTCTAAAAACCTGGAAAACAAATGCCAACTCCCTTTTCTTATCAAAAACCTCATTCTCTATCTGGAGACAGTATATCACCCCTTCCTCTAATCTGCCTAAATGTTCTCTCATTCCCATTCTCCTCTCCATCTGGTTATTCCTCTCTTTTAGCTTTTAGTTTAAATGCAGTTCTTCAGAGAAGACAACTCCGAATTTCATAGACCAGTTGACATTCCTGTTGCACATTCTTCTCCCTCCCTGCACTCTCATGGGTACTGATCTGTCCAGTCTATACTCCCAGCAGGTTCTAACCTGCACTGAGGGTTATCTTCTGTATTTTGTTCACTGTTACATCCCCAGTGCCAAGCACGGAGCCTGGTCTAGAAAATGTACTCAGCAAAGAATTGGTGGATCTTCCATTTGCTAAGCAAACACAGGTACCATCCTTTCTTTTTGCAGGGCCTGTTTTCATTCAAGGTTTACAAGTCAGTAATTGCCTGAAATTTTTTCCTGGCAAATGTCAGTGCTTTCTTCATTTAGCTGCTCAGGGACTTTGGGACAGGAAGAGGTAGATAAAGAATGAATTTATTAGAAACGTATTTATTTTTTCATTTTTAAGGCCCATAGGTGGCAATTTCCATCAGAACTAAATGTATGGTACTTAAAATTTTCCTAAACTAAAACTCACTGGGTGTAAAGAAGGCATCATTAAAAATATCTATTGATATTTTGCATCAGTTGATAGCATGCATGAATGATACTAGTAACAAAAACTCATTCATATTTAGCCTTTTTAGATCAAACTCAGAGATTTCAATTATTCTTCCCATGTGAACTCACCTGGTCTACCAACACACTCCTTCCTCTAATCCGTCTAGAATGTACCCGCATTGCCTTTCTCCTCCTTACATGATTGCTCCTATTTTTCAGGTCTCAGCGTAAAATTCTGGAAGTTAACTTTCAGGTTTAGTCTAAGGACACTGGATAGAGCTGAACTATCAAATACGATTCCCTACACCTTAGCGATCTTAGCATCCCTACCTTAGCTAAGGATGATGACCCCTCTCCCATTTTATCATTCATGAAGGATTTGCTCCAAGAGAATTAATAAGAAGGGACGATGTACTTCAATGATGGCTAAAGTTCATAATCAAAATTATAGTATCTGGAGCTCTAGTTTGATATTATCAGGCATGACAAGTAAAGATCTAGATTTAATTTTAAGGGAGGAACTTTGTACGTTGTTTCTAACATCAAACACAACACAACAGGAATGGCCCAACAGGGGAAGCAGGAGTGGATCCTCAGCAAAAGCCTGTTTCTTTTCTTGCTTTTTTTTTTTTCAGGGGAAAGCGCAAGCACAGTCCCCCACTACCACAAATTATGCAGTCGAGTTTCCCACATTTGGGAAAATCGCAGGGGTCAGCATATCCGGAGTGCGATGGATAAGCCTCGCCCTGGGAAAACCACCTTCGTGATCATGGTATCTCCACTGCCAGGTAAGTATGCAAAAGCCTGTTTCTATAATTGAGACAGTTTGTAACAAAACATTGATCATAAAAGTAAGATATTTTTCTATTTCAAAGATTAGAGTAACTTTTAATGAAACCCACTCCATAAATAGTTTCAGAATACTTCCTACATGACAGGTACTATGGCAGATTGTGGCCCATTTGTGCTGCTATAATAAAATACCCAAGACTGGGTAATTTAAGAAGAACAGAAATGTATTTCCTCACAGTTGTCGGGGCTGGAAAGTCCAAGATCAAGGCGCTGGCAGGTTTGGCTGTCTGGTGAGGGCTGCAGCCTCTGGCTGGGAGAAACGCGGCACGCTCACATGGTGGAAGGCCAAGAGGGCTTTATGCTGCTGTGTGAAGTCCAGTTCACAAGGGTCTTAATGTCGTTCATGAGGGAGGAGCCCTCATGGCCTAATCACCTTTTCAAAGCCCCACTTGTTAATACTAAGACATTGGCCATTAAGTTTCAACTCCTGAATTTTGGAGGAGAGACACTCAAACCATAGCAAATGGGGAGACAAGGATGGTTCCCATCCACATTAAAGAGAGAATATACAGAGAAACACATAACCTGTTGCAAGTATGCAAAAGGGGTGTGTGCAGGAGGGCAGAGCTCTGTATGGGAATCTGAGAAGGGATCACAGAGGACCTGGTATTTTAATGTCTTGAAGAACAAGAATTTTTCTTTGTGAAAGAAGCTGCTCTGGGTGGTAGAGGACAGGATGTAAGAGAGTGCATTCCAAACAGAGGGAACAGTTCAAATTGTTAGAATAAAGAAAATATAAAAGGTTAAAGACCACTAATACTGCTTAATATTTATATAACATATGCCTTGTGAGAACTCAATCCATCAATAGGAAGCAGATTAATAAGTGAAAGAATATCACTGCAGCTATGAGAGGCTCTCCATTCATTCAGTTATTCTTTCACTCACTCACTCACTCACTCACTCACTCAAACCTATAAGCCAGGCCCTGTTGTAGGCACTCTGGATACAGCCATGAACAAAACAGTTCCTGCCCTTGTGGACTGTATGTTCTATTAGGTGAGAAGAGCAACAAACCGAATGAAAGGCAAATGACACAAAACGTTAGATGGTGAAAAATGCTTTGATAGGAATAAAAGGAGCTGGGGAACAGGCTGTGTTGCGAGGAGGGTTGCAATATTGAACGGGAAGGGCCTCATTGAGGATGTGACATTTGAGTAGAGACCCGAGGCAGGTGAGTGTAGGAGCCCTGAGGATATTTGAGGGAAGGGCAGTCCGTCCAGGGGAACAGCCAGTGCCAAGGCCCCGTCAGGAGGTGTCCGGCACGTCCGAGAATGTCCGAGAATGTGCGAGAATGGTGGGAAGGCCGCTGTGTGAGGGAGGAGGGAGCAACAGAGAGGGGAGCTGATGAAGCGAGGGAGACCACAGGGGCAGTCCGTTAATACTCAGGTTTCAACCCTGAATTTTGGAGAAGAGACGCTCAAACCATAGCAGATGAGGAGACAAGGATGGTTCCTGTCCACATTAAAGACAGAATATAGAGAGAAACACATAACCTGATGCAAGTATGCAAAAGGGGTGTGTGCAGGAGGGCAGAGATCTGTACCAGAATCTGAGAAGGGGTCACAGAGGACCTGGTATTTTAATAATGTCTTGAAGAGTAAGTAGATTTTTCTTTGCAAAAGAACTTGGAGTGGGTGTGGGCTTCTGGGCCATGGGGAGGATTTTGCTTTTTACTCTTAGTGAGTTGGACAGCGACAGAAGCATTTTGGGCACAGACATTGTTAAGAGCTGAGCAGTGTCCCCAGATAAATTCATATGTTGAAGTCCTAAGTCCCAGTGCCTCAGAATGTGACTGTATTTGGAAGTAGGGTCTTTAAAGAGGTGAGGGAGTTACAATGATGTCAGTGGTGTGGGCCCTAATCCACTATCACTGGTGTCCTTATAAGCAGAGATGAGGAACAACCACACACAGAGGGAAGACCACGTGAGGACACAGAGAGAAGACACCACCTACAAGCCAAGAAGAGAGTCCCCAGGAGAAACCAACCCTGTTGGCACCTTGATCTCGGACTTCTAGCGTCCAGAACTGAAAGACAATAAATTTCTGTCATCTAAGTCACGCATTGTGTGTGTGTGTGTGTTTTTAAATGGCAGTCCTTGCAGACAAAGACAGTCACGATCTGACTTTCCTCAAACCCTGTCTCTTTTGCTGTTGTAGTGGGGATGGGCTGCAGAGCAGGTGTGGACACAGAAGAACAGGTGGGAGAAACTGCAGTAAGCCAGGCAAGGCCGACTGAGGCTCAGGCAGGAGAAGAAGGAGCATGTAGAAGTGTTGGTCTTATCCCTGTGTATGTACAGTGTGGACCAGACAGGATTTGCGGACAGTCAGATGTGGGGAACCAGAGAAAGGAAGGGGTCAAGGGTGACTCCAGGTCTTTGGCATGAGCGACTGAAAGTGTGAAGTTGCCTTTAATTGAGAAGGGAAAGACTTCTTTAAAGTGCATTCCATTAAGAATCTTCCTAAAATTCCTTCAGGGTCCACATGGATCCACATTCCACCTTCATTTTACTAATAGGAGACTGGAACACAGAGATCAGCCGAATTAAGATCAGAAAGAAACGGCGTCCTGATTAGGACTTTACATCTGACTTCTAGGATTGATGCCAACTAGATCACGGAGCTTACTGCAGATATTAAAAATAAAAACACTGCATCATCTTTGAAATGATAACAAAGGCATAAAAATGATATAATGGACTTTGGGGACTCAGGGGGAGGGGTGGGAGGCTGGTGAGGGATAAAAGACTACACACTGGGTACAGTGTACACTGCTCGGGTGATGGGTGCACCCAAACCTCAGAAATCACCACTAAAGAACTTATCCATGTAACCAAAAACCACCTGTTTCCCAAAAACGATTGAAATAAAAATAAAAATAAACAAATAAAAAGTTGTTCCACAACAGGGTCACTAAATAATCATGAATTCAACTCTTTAATGACTTTAAGAAAAGCTTGTTTCTTAAGAACAAGAGTAAAGGCTAGCAAAGATTTAAGTACAAAAATGGGGAAAAAATGCAGTGTTATTTATTAGAATGGAAAGTTGAGGGGAAATCTCAATGCAAAAAAAAAAAAAAAAAAAAAAGAAATGATAAACCATCATCTTCCAAAAGATGTGGCTCACCAGGGTGAGGGGAATGAAGATAATCTAATTTGAGGAAACTTACCCAAACAAACAGACTTACCCAAACCATTCTAGGGTCACTGAAGACAAATTTTCCATGCTGGCTAATGTTCAATACCATTTGCTTACTGTGTGACATGCAATAACCCCACTGATTTGGATTCATTAAATAATCTGATCCTTACAAATGACCCTAATGAGGCTGCTGGCATTATGATTATTTTTATTTTACAGATAAGGCATGAAAATCAAAAAGAGGTTGAGCCATACGCTTTGGGTCACACAGCTAATACGTGGTGTGTCTAAGACTCAAACTCCGGCAGTTAATTCTGGAACCCACACACTTTGTCCTGAAGTAGGGGTGTGTGATGCCACCAGCTCGGACCCCACTGCCTAGGGCAACCCTGTGATTTTGAATAAATATGACCCTTTAAATTTGCTTCAAGTGGATTCTAGCTCCTTCCCCCAAATCTTGTGAGCCAAAGCTGTAAATAACCACGCCATTGTTTAGTGCCATCAAGCAGGCTTAGGCAAGGTAGTGTCTAAGAACTTCTCTGCAGGTGTGTGCCATGGCTTACACCTGTAATGCCAGAAATTTGGGAGGCTGAGGCAGGATGATCACTTTAGACTATGAGTTCGATGCCAGTTTGGGCAACATGGCAAAACCCCATCTCTACAAAAACTATAATAAAAAAAAATTAACTGGGCATGGTGGCGTGCACCCGTGATCCCAGCTACTCAGGAGGCTGAGGTGGGAGAATTGCTTGAGCCTGGAAGGTCGAGACCGCAGAGAGACATGATCATGCCACTGCACTACAGCCTGGGTGCCAGAGTGAGATGCTGTCTCAAAAATAAAAAATATAAATAAAAAGTAACTTCTCCATATAAATCAGAGCAGATTTGGTATAATCTCAGGGGAACACGAACAAGATGGTATAAGATCTAGAGAAGTCCTTAAATGAAGGGAATGGTAGCTATCTTCAAAGATTTAAAAGCCTTTTACAGGAAAGGAAGATTAGAAATAAGATCGGGAAGGGGCAGATACAAATTTCAGTAAGTAAAACTTTTAATAGAGAGGGAACTTTCTAACAGTCAGACCTTCTTGACAATGAAGCAGGCTATGTTGGGACCTGGGGAACGTCCTGTTGGAGCAGAGACCAGAGGATAAATGGTCAGGAACACTGCTGTGAGCAGGGGCTTGGTGGCCTGGATGGTCTTCAAGGCCCCTTTCATTGATAAGATGACTTGTGCAAATGTATGGTCCAGTGTCAGGCATTGATGCTGTTTAATTCACCATTCAACTTTGTATATTACCTATAACTTTTTCATCAGGATCAGACTGTCCATCTGGACCGATGGCCTATGGTGTGACATTCTTTGAGATTTCAGGGGGCAGCAATGGCCCAAACAGGGGGTCGGTCCAAGGAACTTTAAAGGCAGGATGCCTGAGTGTTTGGTAATGCCTCTCCCTTCTTGCAGAGTTTTTTGGGGTCACTGGAAATTGCCAGGAGGATAGAGAAATGATTCTTTCTTTCTGTATAAAACTTGGTTAGAACAAGAATGAAATCATGTTGACAGGCAACAGGGAGAATTTTTAGGCAGTAAAAATCAGGGGGAAATCACCCAAGACAGCTGGTGATTCCCTCCCTACACTGAAAAGTGTGGCCTGTGACCTTGGCCTATTTTGAGATTCTTCCTGGAGATGACTGGAGACACACAGAAAAATCTCTCCAATCTTTGTTTGGGAAGAGGGCCTCTGGGATGGTCTTTGTTTGGGAAGAGGGCCTCTCTTTCTCTGGGGTGGCAATCTTGTCAAACTGATGCATGCATTAATCTCTGCAGCCTGGTTGGTCTGTTAGGACAACCCTATGCTTTGACCTCGAGTGGGAAGTGAGGGAGAAAGAAGGAGGAAATGACTCTGAGTTGGGACAAAGCGCAGAGACTGCCTTGGCTCTGCTGCCGAGATCATGCTGCATACCCTGCCCCCACCAAAATTCCCTTATCCGACTAGATCTACCCATTGGTCTAAATTAAACTGAAATATCCCGCAAATACCCACAGATATTATAAAACTTGTCAGTTAGCATCTTTAATTGAACCTTTTAATATGGTGTTTTTTTTAAGTGGAAGCATATTTAGCAATATACTATTAACATGCTATCCAAGTATCTTTTCTGATGATTGACGCTCATGAGAGATATGAAAACTTAGTGGGTGCATGTAGACATGGGGTTGGGGGGGTGGGCAGCAATGACGTTGGCTGCTACATGTCCTTAGGAAGCAGCTGTGTGTTAGTACAAAGATCTCTGGACTTGGAGAGGGAAGACCCAGGCTGGAGGCTTAGCCTCTCAACTTACTACCTAGGGTAGTGTTTTCCAAACATCTACAGGGAAGAAACAGTTCTTACTGTTTAGTTCTTTCCATTTTCGATCCATCACAAACTGATGCTTTTGTAAAATATAATACAAATGTAAAAATAATGAAGCCCTTTTTAATGACAAGATTCAACAGACATGAAATTATTCTGTCATATTGCTGTAAGAGTATCTAAAACTTGTTCTCAATGTCTGCACTTACGTGGTTGCAGATGTGAGATAAGCCATTTGTGGGCCACCCTTTGAGAAGGTGGCTTTGGGGAACTTAGTGAACCTCCCTTAGTTTCTCCATCTACTCCGTTTCCGTAGATGATGTGAGGATTAAATAAGATGACAATGACAGTGATGACAATGTGTATGTGTAATAGATTAAAACGTGCCAGCCACATTTTAAATTATTATTGTTCTAATTAATAACAAGAATAGTTGCCAATGACAGCAAGGGGCCAAATTAAGTTTTGTTTTTTTCCTTTTGCAGCAAGGGCAGGTGTTAACACCAAACAATCAAGTCAGAATTCCTAGACACAGCAACCTCCCAGTGAATCACTCCTTTCCCAAATGCAGAATACTCAGCTGACAGGCAGGAGCAGAGAAAGCCACCGAGAGTCAGGAAAACACAACCCGAAGCTCCCGCCTGTGCATCTCGCTTTTAGCTCTCTGGTGATTCGCTGGGACCTCCATACTGCCATTTTCCATCTGTAGGACCCAATGACCAGCAGCCACTACTATGGGACAAGCATTCAGCTCACAGTCAGAGATACCCTTTGCACCTCATAATCATACTTTCTCCTTGTTACACCAGGGCACTCAGTCAAGCAATGTGCCTCAGAGCCCCAGTGGGAAATCCCAGTGCCTTCTTGGATGTGAGGTAGGTGGCGGTGTTTGAATACACACACACACACACACATACACTCATGTGTGTATACACAATCAAGAGTAATTGAGAACCAGTTTGAGAGATCTCCCTATGTGGTGAGGAGTTAGGGTCGTGGCTGCAGGCCTGCCTGTGGGGTCATCTTTGCAGCTCTCCCCGAAGAGCGACTGGAGGCATATTCTGGTGAAAGAGGGAGCTGCCTTGGTAGTGGCCAAATATTAGCCTCACAAGTGCACATAATCAGAGCCTGGGACTCTGCTTCCTCCATCAGCAAGAACAGGGTATACCTTCCCACCTTCCCCAGCCCTCTTGTTTCCCTCCAACACCTGCCAGTCCTCATCTTTTCTTATTTCATATTTTAATTCTTTTGAGTATCATAAAAGTAATATACACAGAATTAAAAAGTACTATAGAAAGATATGAAATATAAAAGTATTTTCTCCCCATTTCACCACACCAGGAATAAATGCTATTAATGACTACGTATACATTTTTCCACAAAACATTAATGCTTATAGAGACACAATATGTGCGTGCATGTGCGTGTGCATGTGTGCATGCATGTGTGTGTGTGTACATGTGTATGTGCGTACACTCACACGTATGCAAAGATGGATATACAGCAGGTCCTTGAATAAGGTCATTTCATTCAATGTCATTTTGCCATAACATTGATGAGAAAAAAAAAACAAACTGATTCCCAGCTGGGGCCATCGTCTGTGTGGAGTCTGCACGTTCTCCCCACGACTGCATGGGTTTTCTCCGTGTACTCAGGTTTCCTCTCACATCCCTAAGATGTATATGTCAGGTGAAATGGCATGTCTACACTGTCCTAGGTCTGAGTGAGTGTGGGTGTGGGTGTGGGTGTAAGTGTGCCCTGTGAGGGGATGATGTCTGACCAGGGCCAGATCTTGCCTTGTGCCTTGGGCTGCTAGGACATGCTCTGGCTAGCCACCACCCGGAACTGGAATAATTGGGTAATCATCTTCTTTGTTTTTATTAACCTTTCTTAAATGTATGTACAGCTCACATTTATTTCAATGTTTAATATTAGAAGTGTTGTGGTCTTTATTTAGAAGTTTGGTGATATTTTTGTGACCAGAAATATGCTATAGGAACTTAAGTCTTGTTTATATCAATTAGTCTATGGTTAAGTTGGTTTTGTTAGATTTTATTTTACTGAAGTTGCAATTTTCACGAACCTACTAATGACACTGAGGACTGTGTGTATATATAAGCATATACATATATACATGAATGTTAGTTTTTCTTTCCGATAAATGTGATTATTCCAGAGCTTTTCAATTGGCAACATTTTTTTTTTCCATGCTTTGACCTTCAGTTTTTTGTCTCATTTTACTTTCAAACATTTTCCCCCAGTGGGGATGACCCCTTGTTCACATTCCTAAGTCATGGTCCAAATCCCTAGGCCCCCCTCCCCAGCCAAC
The DNA here is from genome assembly GCF_000001405.40 of Homo sapiens. Classification (NCBI taxonomy): domain Eukaryota; kingdom Metazoa; phylum Chordata; class Mammalia; order Primates; family Hominidae; genus Homo; species Homo sapiens. Next base: position 13,206,175 of record NC_000006.12, on the reverse strand, counting down.
CCCTCTCCTCCCGTCCTCCCTCCTGGTGCCCACCTTTACCTTTCCAGCCTCTGCATGGTCATGGCCAGCGTTTTGTTGAGCTCGTCTATCATTCTGCAGCCCGAGGGGTGCATGGGGAGGGAGCCGGTGGTGGAGGGGAGGTGCTGGCCGTGGCTGCCGTACTGCAGCTGGTGCTGGATCTGGGAGGGCAGGACAGTGTGGTGGTGCTGGGCCACACCCTGCTGGCCACTCTTCTGGGCTGTGTAGGACACCAGTGAGAGGTCTGGCCCCCCCACGGGCATACAGATCATGACTTTCTTTGGAGGTAGCGGAGGCGACAGTTTCACTGGCAGACAAGGCAATTTCACAGGGGCGCCAGGATCTGTGGCAGAAAGAGGGCGAGAGGCAGATGTGAGTTTGGGGGCATCAGAAGAAACTCAGAACACCAGATGCGCTCACCTGGAGACTGTGGCCAATGAGTTGAGCCTCTTAGGTAAAATGCGTCAGTTGGAGGCACCAGCGTGATGAGTGCTACTCAGCAAGTATCCATTGACTCTTGTTTCCTACTCCAAGTGCACTTGCACTGGCCATAAGGGCCTTCAGGAACCCAGACATTAGTGGTGTCTAATGCACAGTATGTCAGAGACTTGGGAGCGGCCCAGATAGTGAGGCAGGAGGAAGGAGGCATGTGATGAGCTCTTCTGCTCATGGACACCCATGGACTGTCAAGGAAACCTTTGCTAGGATACGCCAAACTATGGTTTGGATGCAGTTTGTCCCTGCAAAAACTCATGGTGAAATATAATTGTCAATGTAAGGATGTCGGGAGGTGGAACCTTTAACAGGTGGGGCCTAGTGGGAGGCATTTGGGTCACGGGTGTGGATCCCTCATGAATAGATTAGTGGTGGGTGTGAGCGAGTTCGAGCTCTCCCAGGAACGGACTAGTTCCCAAGGAAGAGTGGGTTGTTAAGAAGAGTCTGGGTTCCTCAGTTTCTCTCCTTTGCTTCCTCTCTTGCCATGTGCTCTCTGCACACACCAGCTCCCCTTCTGCTTTCCTCCATAGGTGGAAGCAGCCAGAGGCCCTCACCAGAAGCACCATGTTTCTCATACTTCCCAGTCTGCAGAACTGTGAGCTAAAGAAATCTCTTTTCTTCACAAATTACCTGGCCTCAGGTATTGTTACAGCAACACAAAACAGACCAAGACATGCTAGTCTACAATATATGTCTACAATTTTGCCATTATGATGTGAACAGATCCTTTCAAAGCTGGAACTTCCCAACAGGCATGGGATTTAAAGCCAGCCCTAGGGTCAAGTCCACCAACAGCATGCCACTCTGCAAGTGCCTTTACTGCTGCCAACCTTAATTCCCTCTTCCATCACCTAGGGACGACCATCCTGCTTTGAGAGGATGCTTTGTGAAGATTAGTTTTTGCAGATCCTGGCTTGGGTGCACGAGTGGGGCAGGAGTGAGAGTGACTGCTGGACTGGTGGGCCCACTCAAGTGTGGGCTACTGAAACAGTAAGGAGGCTCCCACAGGGGATTCCAGGCTGCTGGAACCTACCTAGGACCAACTGCTGGGTTCCATGACAATGCCATTGAGCTTCCTAGAGATGCTCCACATTTGAGGGGCTCAGGGTCAGACTAGACCCCAGGGCATTTCTGGGAAGATGTAGCCTGCTGCCATACCCCACATTTCTGGAGGGGAACCTGGTTGAACCCTGTGGGTTGTAGGCTTGCCTGGGAGAAGCATGGTCTGGAACAGCACAGCAGGGAGGAGTAGGGAGTCTCAATGCCCCACTGGCACCCCGTGTTGGGGAGCACCACGCAGTTCTGACTCTCCATCTCGGAGGCCATAGATTCTTCTCTAATGATCTATCTGCCTTGAACGTGGCCTTCCTCCAGTCTAACTTACAGTCCTGCCAAAATGACATTCCTAGAGCACAAATCTGATTACGTAGCTCCCCAGTTTAAAACCCATCCATGGACTAAACCTTCCTGATACATCATTCAAGGCCTTCCATGGGCTGGCTCCTGCTTGGTTCATCTCTTCATGTCCACATTGTACCTCTATAAAGTCTGCTCTGGTTCCCCCAGTTGGAAATAACCTTACCTATGGCACCTGAAAAGCTGGAGCAGAATCTCTCCTATGGCCCAGATCACTTCTCCTGTGGATTCTACTTATTTGGTGGCCCATGGATTCAGGGTCTCCATGCTCAACAAAGTTGACCAGGTGGCCTTGGCCATTCTCCCAAGAGCTGCTGCAGTCTTCCCCAGCCTCCTCCAGGATCCTCACCTTCCACAGATGCCTCTCCCTATCCCAGTGAGGAACTGAAGAGGAGCACTCACGGCTTCCCCACCTCCCATTTAGTTCCAGCCCACTTTTCTCACCATTACCCAGACCATCCACCCTCACTCCTGAACTGCTGAGTTTCCTAAACTGCCTGATGTTCCCATAACCCTAGGCTTTTGCATGTCACTTTCCCTCAGTTTAGAATATTCTCCTCTGTTTTGTCTTCTTGGTCAATTACTAGTCGCCCTTCAAGATCCACCTCACAAACAATCACCCCTGAAAAGCCTTCCTTGATCATTACATCCCTCTTCCCACTCTGTGGAAAGAGAGTGGGAACGTGGATGCATATTATGTCCGTGTTAATCGTGTTAATGATGATAGCAGGAATGACGACAGTCATGATAATCAAGACTTCTATCATGCTTACTATGTGCCAGATACTGTTCTAAGGGCTCTTTGTATTCTAACCGGTTTAATCCTTACAACAAGTCTGAGGTAGATGCCATTATTATCTCATGTTTACAGATGATGAAACAGGGTCTCTGAAGACACTATGCTGCACTTCCTGTTTACATAACTGTCTCCTCTCCCGGAGAAGAGTGACAGTGTGTAATTTATTATTGTACCTCAAACCTCAGCATCTTGTTCAGTGACCAGCTCACATCACAAGAGATGCAAATCATGTTTACAGAATGAGCCAAAGTTATGATGATCTGCTGTGGGATGAATTCACACCTTCCCCAGAAATAGATACTCTAGGAGGGAGATGTGAGCCTGAAACAGATTACAATTTTAGGATCACGCAGTTGTGGCATATGGACACTAAACTTCTGATCCTACCGCTGAGACACAGAAAATTCTAATCATTTCAGGGGGCCTGATAAGATTGCTCCCCAACACCAGAATGCAAACCAGTCATAACCACAGGCTTCCGCATGTTCATTCCTGAGGGCTTGTCCTGTTCATTGTGACCCCTCATGCACATGGTGCAAGGTCACCACATTCAGGAACTTAACAGGCAGGCTAGCTAGTTCCAAAGTGCTGAGACACGGAAAAACTCAACACCATTGTCCAGCTCATCTTACTGAAGGGTCCACTTACATAGCTCTTAGAAGCTTCAGTGCAGGCGGGCGCGGTGGCCCACGCCTGTAATCCCAGCACTTTTCGAGGCCGAGGCAGGTGGATTACTTGAGGTCAGGAGTTCAAGACCAGCCTGACCAACATGGTGAAACCCCGTCTCTACTAAAAATACAAAATTAGCTGGGTGTGGTGGCAGGTGCCTGTAATCCCAGCTACTTGGGAGGCTGAGGCAGGAGAATCACTTAAACCCAAGAGGTGGACTTTGCAGTGAGCTGAGATTGCACCATTGCACTATAGCCTGGGCGAGTGAAACTCTGTCTCAAAAAAAAAAAAAAAAAAGCTTCAGTGCAAACCTAGCAAATGCAGTATGTCCTGAGGTGTTAAGGATTTTGCTCCAGGACCCTTAACCCATAGTCCTTCATTTGAAGACTCTGATTCTCTAAGGCAAGTAGGTGCTCATTTGCTTGGTCAGGAGAAAGAACCAGGAGGGCAGAGTGGAATTCTCTGCCTAGGAAGGAGCAGTGATTATATTGAGTTCTGCCCATCTTGTTAATCAATAGCTTCTCGTAACATTCCACCACTTCTTGTGACTTCTTCCATAGCAAAACCTACTTGGTTTCATCACTAGAAAATTGGCCAAGTGAGCCCCAGCAATTCTATGGAAACAGGCAAGGAAGAAAAGGCCAGCTGGACCAAGTTAGTGGAGACGGTTGTTCTTACTGTTCCAGGAAAGGCATGCTGGGGCCTTGGGGAACCCCCCTCCTTCTTTCCTGCTGCATCTCCTTTCTGGTCATTGTGATGCACATAGCTATGAATTAAAGGGCAGCGAATAAAAGCAAATCATTTAAAATCATTTTTGGCTCAGTGGATTTCATAAAAATGAACAAAAGTAAGAAAAGGGCTAAAATCAGGTAGAATTACTTGCTTTCTGTGAATTAGCCATGCAGTCTCTATCTTTCCCTAAAATTGTGGATAACTGAGGAGAGGCTGGGCAGCTCATGTCTTTGTTAGAGTGGCAATGCCTATTTGTATATTTTTACAACATCTTAACACCAAGTCATTCCCCATAACATAACTAGAGGCACGATTTGGAACCAGCTGCATATTATCTGTCATTCTGAACTTCCATCTAAGCTTTTAATCTCCCTTTTCCCACTCAGACTTCTGTATTCTCTGGCTTCTTGACCACTACACCAGTCTAGACACTCATCTCCTCTTATCGTGTGGATAATGCGGTCCCAGCCCTCTGATCTGTCCCCACTCTGTACCAGATATCTATCTCCCTACAGCACCTGCTGGGCATGCGTGAGGTCCATGATGGCTCCATGCTCAGTCCATGCTGCAAGTCCAAGTATGACTCTGTCTGGACTCTACTATGAGTCTCCCACTTACATCTCTCTCGTCCACTCTGGCCTCTGGATTTCCCGATAACCACGCTCCTTCTCTCTTCAGGGCCTTTGCTGTACTCACCTCCTGAAATGCCTTCCTGTTCCTTGATAATAAAAATTGCATTTGCCCCTCAAGCGGCAAATGAAGACCCGCTTTCCTCTGGCAGCCTTTCCTCCCTTAACTCCTACAACCCTGGTGGTCAGCAGCGCCAGTGAATTTGGCTCTGTTTTGTGCTGGTTACTGCTGGCTCCATTTGGGTCAGCCCTGTCTTCCCAGCTAGTTCCTGGATGGCTCCTCCTACATGTGCTGCAGCAGGACTCTGAGGCTGGGCAATGATGGAACGTGCTCACTGCCCTGTGGTCCTCAGGACCAGGACTGGGGGTGCATCAGAATCACAATGATGCTCATTCCTCTTCTCAGGGATTCTAGGTTGGGTTCCAGCATTATATTTCTTTCTTTTTTTAATTTTTTTCTTTTTTTTTTTTTTTGAGACAGAGTTTCGCTCTTGTTGCCCAGGCAAGAGTGCAATGGTGTAACCTCAGCTCACTGCAACCTCCCGCTCCCGGGTTGTTCAAGTGATTTTCCTGCCTCAGCCTCCGAGTAGCTGGGACTACAGGTGTCCGCCATGATGCCTGGCTAATTTTTTTTTTTTTCATTTTTAGTAGAGATGGGGTTTCACCATGTTGGCCAGGCTGGTCTCAAACTCCTGACCTCAGGTGATCCACCCACCCCGGCCTCCCAAAGTGGGTGGCCACCCAGTGCTGGCCACCTGGCCCAGCATTGCATTTGTAAAAAGCCACAGTCAAAAATAACTCTTGGCCTCTTACTTTTGTCCTTTTCTCTGAACAAAAGGGCACTATTTCTTAGAGCAGAGTCCTTGGAACACCTGCAATAGTTGCCTGATGCAACTTCATGTTCCTGGGCTTTACTTTGGACCTGCTGAACCAGAATCTTTGGGCCAGACATTTGGATTTAAGATGCTTCCTGGCCGGGTGTGGTGGCACGTGCCTGTAATCCCAGCACTTTGACCCCGTCTCTACTAAAAATACAAAAATTAGCTGGGCGTGGTGGCACGTGCCTGCAATCCCAGCTACTCGGGAGGCTGAGGCAGGAGAATCGCTTGAACCCAGGAGGTGGAGGTTGCAGTGAGCCGAGATTGTGCCACTACACTCCAGTCTGGGTGACAGAGTGAGACTCCATCTCAAAAAAAAAAGATTCTTCCCAAATGCTCAGCATATACAAGGAGCTGAGAATCACTGGCTCAGGGTGCTAAATCGCTTGGTGTATGGTGCTGCCTGAGGCAGGGATACTGCAGCACTCAAGGCCAGGATGCATCAGTTCCATCCAGCATCTGGACCAATGTCCATCCTGGGGGGTCATTGGGATAATTTCCAGATTCTATTTCTATGCTCCCAACATGTAAAAAGTAAAAGAGCAATTTTCCCTAAACCAATTTATTAAAAGCTAATTTGCCTAAAATCTATTCACCTAATGATTATCTTGTCCACATTAGAATGTGCAATTAAAGGATACTTCTTAAACCAATTTGTCTAATGGCACTTCCAATTGAGTTTTATAAAAATCATTTGTCATTGAGCCTTTTGTAAATGATAAGATGTCTTATATCCTTGTGGGTGAATTTTTCTATTTTATTTCTATCTATAGAAATAAAATCTTTTATTCTATTTCTATCTATATCTTGTCTAAACTTTAAGGATGTTTTAGACAAGTTTGCATAAAGAGCCTTTCTTCAAAATTTTGTGTCAAGCAATAAGTACTTCATCAAACAATTAGCTTTTCCTACATAGTTGATTCAAAGCATTCAGGTTCTTCTGCCTTCTTGCTGATTTTTTATTTACCCTATGTGCACTCTGTAAATTTACTAAACAAACCAAGAAATATATATCTAGTACCCATTTCTGTTTAGTGAGGCGATTACATTTTTATAGTGAGGATGACAAAGGGAATTGGGTAGATCAGGCTTCTACTGCATGGCATCCACTTTTCAAGATGCCAATGTTTTTTTTTTTTTTTTTTTTTTTTTTTTTGAGATGGACTCTCACTTTGTCGCCCAGGCTGGAGTGCAGTGGTGTGATCTTGGCTCACTGCAACCTCCACCTCCCAGGTTCAAGCAATTCTGCTTTAGCCTCCCAAGTAGCTGGGATTATAGGTGCACGCCACCAAGCCCAGCTAATTTTTTGTATTTTTAGTAGAGATGGGGTTTCACCATGCTGGCCAAGCTGGTCTCAAACTCCTGACCTCGTGATCCACCTGCCTTGGCCTCCCAAAGTGCTGGGATTACAGGTGTGAGCCACTGCTCCCAGCAGCTAACTTCTTAAAGTAGTGTTTCCATCAGCCTCATTAGGGAAGCTTGGGAGAGGCAGATTCCCGGGCCTCACCTTCAGAGTTCAGATTCAATAAGTCCACAGTGGTGCCCAGGAATCTGCTTTGTAAACAAACTCCCAGATCACTCTGATCTACCTGGATGGAAATGACACCTGGTGCTGCAAGTTCTCATCAGGCAAAGAGGCACAAAATCATTACCAACATTTGTTGGTCTAAAAAGTATAAGATAAACTATAAAATCATGCACTGATTCAGTTCTGTTGGCTTCAGCAAATTGCTTAATCTCTTTGATGTTCAGTTTTCCAATCTGTGAAATAATGTGTTATGGCAAGGTTGTCCAACCGGCGGCCTGCATGCGACCCAGGACAGCTTTGAATGTGGCCCGACACAAAATGGTAAACTTTCTTAAAACATGACGGGATTTATGCACGGATCTTTTTCTTTTCTTTCGTTTTTTTTTTTTCACTCATCAGGTATCATTAGTATTTGTATATTTTATGTGTAGCCCAAGACAATTCTTCTTCTTCCAATGTGGGCCAGGGAAGCCAAAAGGTTGGACACCCCTGTGTTATAGGACAATTGTAAAATTAAATAAAGTACATAAACCGTGTGGCATAGCGTCTGACACTCCAGACACTCCAGACAGTTATTCCACAGAGAGTAACCATAATTCTTGATGCTATCACCATCCTCATTATTAATTGCCTCCTTTAGGAAGCCCATCATCCCGAGGCTGGCTGAGGCGCCTGCCCATGGGACCCCCAAGGCCTCGTGCTTCCCTGTGTCACAGCATTGCCTATTGAGTCAATTCAATCCCTTTCATTTTTCTTAACATGTTGCTGATTTTTCCTTGCAAGGGCTATGTGTGATGTAGTAATTATTAAATTTCACTGAGCGTGGCTATTTCCTCCTGTTTTACCTGCTAGAATGAACTAAGCCTAGTGCATAGTAGATACCCAATAAACGTTTGTTTATCTTTTCATCATGTCTTCAGGGCAACGGGAAAAGGTGGAACTCAGTGACTGGTTTCTGCTGTATTAAAGGTCTGCGAGTCAAAGTGTGGCCAATGGACTAGCAGGAGCCACATGGCCTGGGACCTTATCAGAAAGGCAGATGCTCAGGGCCCACCCCAGACCCTCTGGCAAGATCTCTAGGGGACGCTGATCTATCAAGTCTGAGAAGCACCCCTGAAAGAGGCATTCCTTTCCAAAGAGGCTACTCCCTCCATAGGCAAAATAACAAATGCCCAGAGCCTTGTGGAGGAGGAGATTATCCCAGCACTGCTCTGGGAGGGCTGGGAAGGAGGTGCAGAGGCTTCTGCTGTGGGCCGAGGGCAGAATGTCCTGGTGAAACCACCACTGGCTTAGAACTCAGAAGAATGATTCTAGATCCTTGAGGGATAGCATTAGGAGACATACCTAATGTAAATGACCAGTTAATGGGTGCAGCACACCAACATGGCACATGTATACATATGTAACAAACCTGCACATTGTGCACATGTACCCTAGAACTTAAGGTATAATAATAATAATAAAAAAAAAAGGAACTCAGAAGAGCTGGGGTTTAAGTACAGCTCCAAGACCAAGAAACTTTGTTACTCTTCCTAAGACATTTAGCTTTCCTGAGCCTCAGTTTTCTCATCTGTAGAAAGGGAGTATTGCCCAGAGTATAGATCTGTAATGAGAAGTAAATAGATTAATAACTACACAGCTCCATGCAAGGTGCTGAGGGGACCTTAGGGTTGAAATCTAGCCTGAGGCCTGCCCTGGTGTGGGGCTGATTCACTCTAGAGGAAGGGGCATCCTCTACAGGGCACTTTTTCTAATTTTACAAAGTCTCCATATAGGTCAGCAGAAGGCCTGAGTATAAAGTAGCCCCCGTACAGTCCTTGATGCATCAGAGGAGATCAGCAAATGTAGTCTTGATTCTGAGACAAACATCATAATACATTCCCCACCTCTGCCATAGGTTGTTTGGAGGGTCAGACAGGATCACGTGAACGTGCTTTGTAAATTGCAAAGTACCTTATATAGCTGCAGTGTTGCTAATAGGGCTTTCACCACACTTCTGAAAATCCACCTATCCTGATGCTTTCCAGCCTGGGGTGGGAAGGTAGAAGCCAAAAAAACAACAGAGAGTGTTTAATATGTGGTGGTACTATCATAAGTAAGCAGTGGAAAAGAGCAGAGGTGATTGGAAAGTGAATCAAGTAATAGAGCAGAGAGGCTTGCGAAAGACTTCCATGGCGGTTCTCCATGCTTGCAACAAAACACCACCACAAAATGCTCCAGGAGAGGTTTCTAGGTTTCAGTGTATTGTTCTGATGCACACCGCACTACATCGGTATTGAAAACTAGTGACTGGGGCCGGGTGCAGTGGGTCAAGCCTGTAATCCCAGTACTTTGGGAGGCCAAGGCGGGCGGATCACGAGGTTAGGAGTTCAAGACCAGCCTGACCAACATGGTGAAACCCTGTCTTTAAAAAAAGTACAAAAATTAGCTGGGCGCAGTGGCATGCGCCTGTAGTCCCAGCTACTTGGGAGGCTGAGGCAGGAGAATCGCTTGAACCTGGGAAGCGGAGGTTGCAGTGAGCTGAGATTGTACCACTGCGCTCCACCGTGGGCAACAGAGTGAGACTCTGTCTCAAAAAACAAAAAAAAAAAGAAAGAAAACCAGTGGATGATCTAGGAGTCTGAAAACCTGCGTCCTTTGCTTTTAACTGCCTGAGGAAGACATCTAACCTTCCTGGGATTTTGTCTCTTTACCTCTAAAGATCCTAGAATAAAAATGCCTCCTTTCCCTTGATTCCTGGGATAAAAATGCCTCCTTTCCCTTGACAGCACCTCACTGAATAAATGGTTTTGCATCTATCTGATGCATGATATTTATTAATTGTTGGAGGATACACACTACTTCTTGCCTTTCTAATGATGATGGTGGCTGCTCCTGCTGGGAAACACACAGAGCTCTCTGCTTGCTGACTTATTTCTGCAGCTAGACTGATTGAGATGCAGTGTATTCATAAAACTGTCTCTGTTGATGGAGTGGAAGAAGCAAAAACGACCAGTTCCAGAGAACAAGGAAAATAAACCCAAACCGTGAATGTCACAGAGCCATAAAACCCAAGAGGGCTGTATTTCCAAACCTGACACAGCCCTGGCTGATGACTTCAGACAAGGAAAGAAAAAGCAAAGATGACTTCTAAAGTTGGTCCTTGTGCCGTATGGCTGTAGCCGACACACGGAATAAGTGTGGACTAAATAAATACACCTCTAACCTCTCTTCTTACCACCACAAATGAACTTTTTTTTTTTTTTTTTTTTTTTGAGACGGTGTCTCTCTCTGTCGCCCAGGCTGGAGTACAGTGGCGCGATCTCAGCTCACTGCAATGTCCGCCTTCTGGGTTCAAGCAATTTTCATGCTTCAGCCTCCTGAGTAGCTGGGATTACAGGTGCTCGCCACAACGCCCAGCTAATTTTTGTAGTTTCAGTAGAGATGGGGGTTTCACCATGTTGGCCAGGCTGGTCTCAAACTCCCAACCTCAAGTGATCCCTTCATCTCGGCCTCCTGAAGTGCTGGGATTACAGGCATGAGCCACCGCGCCAGGCCACAAATGAACTTTTTAATCAGCACCTGCTATAGAGGCCCATTTGTAACTGCTGCTGTATCGGCAGTTACTTGTCAATGAGCACAGCACTTAGTGCCCAATGAATAAAGGTGTTGCAAAATTTTCTCAGTCATTTGCCAACTAGTTGCAGTGAGTTGGAATTACTTATCTCCTTTAATTACTTAACCTTAGCTATAGGTACTCCACCTGAAGATGGTGGACTATAATAAAGGGCCTATTGGCAGTATATCTGGAACAGAAATGAGAGTCTAGCATCACTAATCTACTAAATCAGATTCCCCTTGGCTGCAAGAAAGAGGTCAACAGGAGCTCCATCAGTTCCTTCAGAACACGAGGCCCGCCTAGGGATGATCACTCGCCTGGCGTTTTGCCTTGGTCAAAGGCAAAATGTGCTGACTGACCCCTTGTGGTGAGAGGGATGATGTTGAGAGAAACAAGAGTAATGAAAAAAATGTTATTTTTGTGAAATGCCCCAAACCTGGCTTTCCCTTCCAAGCCAGGTCAGCATGTGAAAACCACAGCAGACATCTGGCCTCCGTGAGGACCGTCCTCAGATCTGGAATCATAACCTCAAGGGCCATGATAACATACACAACCCTGGCACCCTCAGCTGACTTAGTTTCAGAGCCGCTTTCTACAAAGAAACATTAAATTTAAAAAAAAATTTTACTAGACAAATAATAATTGTAGATATTCATGGGATGACATTTTGATACATATTTGTAATGTGGGATGATTAAATCAGGCTAATTAACAAATCCATCACCTTACATACTTATCATGTTTTGGCAGTGAAAACATTTAAAATCTTCTGTCTTGGCAATTTTGAAATATACAATCCATTATTAAATGTACCCTGGGAAGATGGCCATGAGTAGGGAAGGACTGGAGAGGAGAGTCACTCTCCAGCTAACTGAGTCACTTAGGCACGTCACCCTTGCAGGGCATGTAATTCAGTTAGTTTTTTTTTTTTTCTTCAATAAAATTACACAGTATTCATTGCCAGAGAACTGCTCTCTTTTCTTTTTCCTTTCTTTCTTTTTTTTTTTTTTTTGAGACGGAGTCTTGCTCTGTCACCAGGCTGGAGTGCAGTGGTGTGATCTTGGCTCACTGCAACCTCCACCTCCTGGGTTCAAGCAATTCTCCTGCCTCAGCCTCCTGAGTAGCTGGGACTACAGGCACGCGCCACCACGCCCAGCTAATTTTTGTATTTTTAGTAAAGACAGGGTTTCACTATGTTGGCCAGGATGGTCTTGATCTCTTGACCTCGTGATCTGCCCACCTTGGCCTCCCAAAGTACTGGGATTACAGGCGTGAGCCATCGCGCCCAGCCCAGGAAACTGCTCTCAAAGAGTCAAAATGGTAGATGTCCTTCTAATCATGGAACAAACACCTGTTGAGAGGATCAGTAAGTATTTTGTGAGAAATTATAAATCACCTATATAAAAACACATCATATTGTTTATGTCTGCAGCCATGGACTGGTGCTGCTGCTCCTAGGGAGACCGGAAGAGAAGAATGCCCTTCAATTGATCACTGTGCTGTTGAACCTGGGCCTTCTGCAGGACAGGCATAAAGGAGGGTGAGAAATGCAGAGATGGAGAGATGAAAGGATCATTCATTCATCCAAGCAGATAGGGAATCAAATCAAAGTCACCACGTCATCAGGGTGAGCATCGACACATTCATCTGCTCTCAAAACATGCAAAACAGGAGATAGACGTATGAAGTTTGAAAGTAAATTGAGATCATATAAAAGAAAATACTGAGCTGGATGTGGCAGATCTCGCCTGTAGTCCCAGTTACTTGGGAGGCTGAGGCAGGAGGACTGTTTGAGCCCAGGAGTTGGAGATCAGTCTGGGCAACATCGAGAGACCTTGTCTCTAAAAAAATTTTAAAAAATTAGCTGGGAGTAGTGGCGCATGCCTATAGTCCCAGCTACTTGGGAGGCTGAGGTGGGATGATCATTTGAGCCCAGGAATTTGAGGATGCAGTGAGCTATGATCATGCCACTGCACTCCAAGTTGGACAACATAGTGAGACCGCATCTCAACATACACTCCCCAAAACTATATATATATATATATATATATATATACACAGAGAGCTATTAAGAGGTAGAATATTCATGGTGACAGTGTAAGTTCAAGCTAGATCCATAAATACTTTAAAGGAAAAACAAGGATGGCTGCAGCTCATCTCTTACCTTGCATCTCTTGGATGCAGGATGATATTTATTCACTGTTGGAGGTCACACTCGTATTTTTTGCATTTACAATGATGTTAATGGCTGGTCTAACTGTCTGTAGTTGGTGTGTGTAAGAGCATGCCTGTTTCCTTCCAAAATTCTTAGTGTACGGCCTGAGAACTACGGCTGGACCATGAGTTTGACCAATATGGATGACTGTCATGTTCTAACTGCTACTCTTTAAAGGGGTTGCTTTTACATCTAGGTTATCATGTTTCCTTCAAACACTACAGAATACAGGGGAATCAGGGTTAATTTATGGCAGAACTTAGAACTGGAGAACATTTTGCTAACTTCCCTAAAATGCAAGTATCCTGCTATGAAGATACAGGCAAAAGATCATCAAACTCCTCCTTCAGCAACAGGGCTTCTCTCCCTCACAAAGCCTCCTGTTCAGCATTAGCTAAGGACTCAGCAGGGAACACATCAGATTAAATCCCTGCCCTCATGAAACTTACCCCTGGGATGTTTAGAAAATATGCAAAAGGAAGGAAGCTTGGTGCCCTTTGCAATTTCATGTTGATGTTGGACATGCCCCAGTTTATTTATACATCCAGTTATAAATCCATCGAACAGCATTACTGTCCATCTTATTCACAGGAACAATTGAGAGACATGCTTGGCTGAAATCAAGCAATTGCTGCTAAAAAGTGCACAAAAGATGCTAACTTCCTTCTACAAAGTTAAATCCTTCCTCGTGACATTCACAGCTCTCCACAGTTTCACCACAATCCACTTTTCAGCCCCAATTTTCCTTACTACACCACAAGAATCCTACATCCCTGCTGATAGGACTATTTGCTATTTCTTGAACATAATAAGCCTTGTACCCACGTGCCTGTGTGTCCTTTGCATCTTGTTTAAGAACAACCTCCTCCTCCAATCCTACCTGTCAAAATCCCACTCATCTTTAAGGCTTGTCTTAAATAACTCCTCCTTAATGATGCTTTTTCTTGATTCCTCCAAAAGGATTTGACTTGTTATACTTGAATTTATTTAGAGCCATGTTTACATCTCCTCCTATTAAACATTTTCTGTAGCTTATCACAGCCTGCAGCTCCTCCCGCTGATGGCCTTAACCATTTTTGTACATTGTATGAGGGCTGGCAGAACACCTTGCACATAGCAGGCATTGAAAACATAAGTGCTGAGTGAATTAAATCTCCAACCTAACAGTGCTACAAAAAAGACAGGTATTTTGCTACGCTCTTTGCCCTGGTTATAGAAATCAGAGCAGAAAGCATCCTTTAAAAACTGTTTTAATCAACAGATAGTCCTTGTATGCACTGCAGAAAAAAAACTTCTGCATTTTGAGAATAGAAACAAGACTGGAAAAACATGGAGAAATGGGTAGAAAAGTGAGTATAAAAAGTAAAATCAGCTAACTCCCCCATTCGTTCTGTGTTGTTTCCATTTTTTATTTTTTGTATGAGTTTTGACATCTTAAAAACCTTTCTGGCTGGGGAGACTGTCCCTCCTGGGGCTGACCAATTCTCAGAGTTAGCAAGGGCCAAGTCAGGAGCAGCCCTTTGATATGGAAACAAGCCAGTCCAGAGCCAGACTTCCTCTATCAGGCCTGTCCACCCCAGGATGCATTATTCCTCTGCCTTAATCATCCCATGGCCAGGTACCAGGCAACTATAGAACATTTGTATAGCTTAGAGCCTGCTGACACCATGCAAACTAGCCAGTCCTAAAGTGCTCTGTCTGCCCTGCTTTGCCTTTCTGCAGAAACCCCAATAAACACTCTGGCCTCGGCTTTCCCCTCTCCTTGCTTTCTGCCTCCTGACCACCCTGAGGCTTCCCCATGTGCCCTGTGTGGTGAGCCGTGCCTCCTGTCTCTAGGGCCCGTGAGTATAATAAACCTTATGGCTGCACTTGACCGACCATCTCACAAAGAACACAGAACACCTTCAAATTATCAGTTACCAAGAGAGACTTCTATGCAAACATTCATTTTTTTTCCATTTAAAGGCATAGATAAAGTCCAAGCTCACAGTGGTCTAATCTTTGGTTTTATTGCACTGGGATTACTGGGAGGGAAGGCAGGGACAGAGGCAGAAGTAGCCAGGTGGTTCTGGAGGGTTGGAGAGGAGGACATGGAGGGTTGGGAATGTGGGGATCAATGGGGGAGAGAGAGCATCAGAGAAAAACAGAGACACATAATGAAATTACGCAGCAGCATGTGACTGTAGAACAGTGAAAAAGTCCACAAAACTAGAGAGATAGCTATAACCAGGAATATTGGTCAAGCATGGAGAGAGGATTCTTGTTACACAGGTACACATGCTGGGGCTGAAAATAACACAGGTCATGGACACCATTTGTCAGGCAAAGTTGTAGTAGCGAATACTTTGGTAACATTGAAATGAGCAATCAACTAAGTTCTGAGAATATATTAAGTTTCCTTGTATTTTGAATTCTAACCACTGTGCAAATAAGTCCTGGGTAGGTGTGTATTATCAGTAGGACTTGTTTTCAAGGATAAGCCTCAGTTTCCTTTCTTTGCTGAAGTGTCAGTAATCTCTAACTGTGGTCAGATGCTTCCCATGTGGTTTACCCCTGCTCCTGACTCTTACACAAACTGTCTCCTTTGGGTCTGTTCTTTGAAACCCGACCCAACTGAACTCAGATCCTCCTCTTTATAACCAAGTGCCTTGAGTATATGACTAATTTTTGAAGAACTAGATAATTTTTGTCCTTGAGTCATGCTGTGGACTGAATTGTGTCCCCCCACCTCCTAAATTCATCTGTTGAAACTCTCACCCCCAATGTGACTGTATTTGGAGTAAGGAAGTAATCAAGGTCAAATGAGGCAATGAAGATGGAACCCTAATATGATAAGATTAATGTCCTTATAAGAAGAGACATCAAGCCGGGCTTGGTGGCTCACGCCTGTAATCCCAGCATTTTGGGAGGCTGAGGCGGGCAGATCACTTCAGGCCAGGAGTTCGAGACCAGCCTGGCCAATATGGTGAAACCCCACCTCTACTAAAAAAAAAAAAAAAATACAAAAATTAGCTGAGCATAGTGGCACAAGCCTGTAATTCCAGCTACTCGGGAGGCTGAGGCAGGAGAATCACTTGAACCCAGGAGGTGGAGGTTGCAGGGAGCCAAGATCATGCCACTGCACTCTAGCCTGGGCGACGGAGTAGAAACTGTTTTAAAAAAAAAAAAAAAAAAAGCAGAAGAGATATCAGAGATCTCTTTCTCTCTCCCTGTTATGTGAGAACATAGAGAGAAGGGAGCTGTCTACAAGCCAGCAAAAGATATGTCACTAGAAACCGAACCCTACGGACCTTGATCTTGGACTTTCCAGCCTCCAGAACTAAGAGAAATACATTTCTGTTGTGTAAACTACCCAATCTACATTCTTTAGTTGCGGCAGCCCAAGCAGAATAACACAACTTTTAAAAACAAAGGGGCCGATTTTCAAACTTCTTAAGCAGATGAAAACATACAATGCTAAAACACAAAGAAAGCTGATTTTTTTAAAGATTTGGGAATAGGCCGGGCAAGGTGGCTCATTCCTGTAATCCCAGCACTTTGGGAGGCAGAGATGGGTGGATCACTTGAGCTCAGGAGGTCCAGACCAGCCTGGGCAACTTTGTGAAATTCCTTCTCTACAAAAAAATACAAAAGTTAGCCAGGCGTGGTGGCATGTGCCTGTAGTTCCAGCTACTCAGGAGGCTGAGATAGGAGGATCACTTGTGCCTGGGAGGTGGAGGCTGCAGTGAGCCGTGATTGTGCTACTGCACTCTAGCCTGGAAGATACAGTGAGATCCTGTCTCAAAAAAAGAAAAAAAAAAGGGGGGGTGGGAATTTTGGTGGAGATACTATAAACAAATGGTTATAAATGAGGATTCTGGAGTCAAAAAAAATAGGTTCATGCTTATCTGCCACTTACTAGCTAAGTAACTACGACCAAGTCCTTTAATTTCTCCAAATTTCATGCTCATCTGTGAAAAGAGGTAATAATGATAACAATATCAAAGAGTATGTGGTAAAGTTCTCAAAAAAGGCTGACATTATTATTACCCAAATGTGAACATCTGACTGTGAAGTCCAGCTAAATTGATTTATCCTTCATTCAACTGGCATGCCGGGGGCACCTGCCACAGGTACCTTATGCAGAAGGCATAGGTTATTCATGCAGCGTTGAACATCTGACTTCTGGAGCCAGAATGCCACAGAGAAGTGACTGATGATGACTTAGAGAGGCAGGAGACAGTGGCTTTTGCCTTCATCACCCTTTTGGGGTCACCCATCACTCCAAGGATTCCAAGAAGGATGCATTTCACTTCAGATCACATTCATTACACAACAAGCTCTGTCGGACACTGTACTTCTGGAAACAAAGGAAACTGATGCCAACAACTCCTGGCCCTGTATCGCATGCTGTTGCATGGTTGATGTTGGAGGAGGTGAGATGGAAGGAGATTTTAACAAGAAATGAAGCAAGACAGACAGGGAGAATGAGAGAACTTCTCCCCACCTGGCTGATGAACAGAAGAAATTTGTAAGACAAATACTCTCCAAATTAATTACATTTTCCTGATAAAGTGGAAGCAAACGCCACGGTAGAGGTATTTCTGCATGACTTTCCCTGACTGTGAATTTGGTAGTAGTTCCAGTTCAGCCTCACATTTCCTCCAGCATTCTACCAGACCATTAGCCACTGTCACTCCCCATTAATCACGCTTGGTGTCTTTCAATTGTCCTGTGTTTCCTTTCAAACATGTCACCAGAGCAGCAGACACTGAGAACAGGCTAAAACTCATGAGTCTCAATTTAGAGTTCTAGAATTCTTAGTTTATTAATTCCTTCTGACATGGCCCAGATGTCTTCAGAGCAATTAGTAACAGAACAGGGTTAATGTAGCTACCTCATGGTGATGCAGATTCATTATAACTGATTGCTCACTTATAAAAATTAAGCAAGTCTAATTGAGTTTAAGCCCAAAAGGATAGCACTAGATTTGCAGTCCACGGACTTCTCCACCTGTCTTACTTTATCATGTTTAAGAGGTTACCAGGTACTACATAGTAAGGATATTAGCTTTTTGTGTATTTTTATTCATTTGATCCAAGCTGTATAGAGGTGAGGCATATAGATAACAGAGTCTACTCTCTCAGGAAAGGACCAGGGAAGCCAGAGAGATGGGGCCAATTGAGATATCTTCGGTCTCTCATATGTAAAGAACCCTGTGGATACCAGGCCACCTGAGCTCCTGGGCTCATAGATGAAACTTAAGTTTGTCTCCATTAATGAGATAACTAGATAAATCAGAGGTGTCGTCAGTTAAGAAATTCTGCTGACTCTTCTTTTTACAATGTCATATCTACTGGTTTGCTCTCTCTCTTCTCACTGATATCAGTCAGATGCTTGTTAGCTCATATTTCAATGACTGGAGAAGCCTCTTCAATGGTATCCGTGGCTCAGGGTATCCCTGGCTCAATGGTATCCCATGGCTGAGTCCATTTAGCTGATCTGACTTTGGAGTGCATGGCCTAGAGCTAGCCTTGGTGGTGGCTTCTCTGATAGGCCTTCAACCTGCTCCTCTTTCTGCTCCTTCTACATGGTGATCCAAGATCTCTTAAAGGCTAGTTTTCATCATATCACTCCTCTGCTTAAAAACCTCCAAAGTTTTTTCACTGCCTAGGGATTAAAATCTAAATCTTTTTATGCCTTTTTCTAGTGAGTCCTGTCTCTCAGTATACTTCAGAATGAAGCTTCCACCCCTACTCAGCCAACTCTTCAATGACCCAAAATGTTGCCACCTCTGAGGTTTTGTCTAGGGTCTTCTTTCCTGGAATACTCTTCCCTCATTTTCTATAAATGTCCTTCATGCTTGAAAAGTCAGTTCAAGCTTCAGCCTTCTCTTTATCAGACTGCATTGAATTGCAAGTGTTACTGCTAACAGTAGTTGTGTTAGTACTCTCTCTCTACGTATATATATGCATTCATCAAACCAGGGGTCCCCAACCACCAGGGCCATGAACCTGTACTGGTCCGCGGCCTATTAGGAACCGGGCTGCACAGCAGGAGGTGAGTGGCGGGTGAGTGAGCAAAGCTTCATTTGTATTTACAGCCACTCCCCATTGCTCACCATTACCTCCTGAGCTCCACCTCCTGTCAAATCAACAGCAGCATTAGATGAGCGCGAACCCTATTGTGAACTGCGCATGTGAGGAATCCAGGCTGCATGTTCCTTATGAAAATCCACTGCCTGACGATCGGTCACTGTCTCCCACCACCCTTAGATGGACTGTCTAGTTGCAGGAAAACAAGCTCAGGGCTCCCACAGATTCTACATTATGGTGAGCTGTATAATGATTTAATTATGTATTACAATGTAATAATAATAGAAATAAAGTGCACAACAAATGTAATGCACTTGAATCATCCCGAAATAATCTCTCCCGCCCCACCTCCGGTCTGTGGAAAAATGGTCTTCCACAAAACTGGTCCTTCGTGCCAGAAAGGTTGAGGACAGCTGCATTAAACTGTTACATATTCCTATCTACTTTGATACTTAGTACAGTATTCTGCCTATTGTAGATGTGTTGAATAAATATGTACTACATGTAGGGGTTTATTTTGTACAATGTTTAATCTTTCTTAAGGGAAATTTGACATCAAAGCCTTAAAGGGTGCATAATCTTTGACTCAACAGTTCTAATTTTAGAAATAAATTAGAGAAAACTCAGAAGTGCTTATGAAGATATATGCAGGCTGTTGCAGTTGTTTGCTGTTGCGATTTAGCAATAAGGAAGATGGAAAAACTTTAAGGGGTCAGTCAAGTAAACCCTGATCCATCCAAGCAGCTAATAAAATCACGTTGTGGAATTGTTACTAACACGAAAATCAGTTTACAATATATCACCAAGTGCAAAAAGCAGGTGACAAAACAATACGTACAGCAACATTCAATTTTTATTCAATAGACAGACAGATGGACAGTGGATATTGCCTAGAAGGAGGCTTATGGGACCTTTTCTCCTTTGTAGTTTTCTGTGAATTTCAATTTTTGGACATCGAACAAAAGTGTTATTGATATGTTAGATGGTTCCGTTTGATGGAAATTTGCTCTTTCAAGCCATACACATCTGACTTGGATGGACATACACATTAATAGATTAGTTTGACATGAGCCCATGTCTAAGATGGACTCTTATAGAACTCAGTATCACGTGAAAGACAGCCTGCTCTGGAAACAACATTAGCTGAACTCGGAGTTGAGAAATATAGCATCGATTGTGCCTCTATTACAGAATTCCTGTCAGCCCTGGAAGTCACTTATTTTTCTTGAACCTCAGTGTTTCTCCTATAAGATAGGTGAATATTTTTCCCTAATTCCACCCCCATTACATGTTACAAAATGTTACAATGATTACCTAGGTATTATTTGTCAAAATACCGAGTGCTTTTTAAAAAGGCAGTCGATCAGCATCAGGTGAAACTATTATCAAAGTTGGAGAAATGACCCTCTGAAATATTTTAATCTCTGATTATACCACAGCCTTCAATCACAAAGTGGTATCTAATTCATGTGCCAAAGTGCAGTGAAGTACAATTTCACTGAGTGCTCAATTTAATGCCTGTGGCTACATTCATTAAGTAACACTTCAGAAACACTGCAAAGGACGTGTGCAATCATTTTAGAACAACATTGCTAAGCTTACTCTTCTTTTAAAAGTATTTACCACATAATTTGCAGATTGTCTTTTTTTTTTTTTTTTCCCTAAGAGAACAGACAGCACTGACATGAATTTTAATAGGTGAAATACACTGGGCTTCAGATCAATAACTTAAAGACAAAAAATTTAAAACCTTGACATACTCATATGGAGAAGGCACTATTCTTTATCTTTGCAAAAATGTTGACATTGAATCGATTTCACCTAGATGAGCAAATAATCTTGAATTAGTCACTTAAATACAATGTACACATTTACAGATACACATGACTGAAAGCTCTTGGCATATGGCTGGTAGGTGGATATCAAATGCTGCTTGACACAAAAACACAAACCCTGGTCATGACTGCAGATATCAAGACACACACAGAAACACCCAAACATCCCACAGGGCAACCTCCCCAGAGAGCTGCCTTCAGGCCTCAGTTCAAAGAACAAGAGAAAAAGAAAATCCCTTGAAGGGAAGGAGGGACTGCTTGCCCCAGAAGACGTCTGCACTCACCTGTTAAGTGGTTGGCAATCCTGGTAGTGGGTTTGGGAGGCAGGGCCGGGGGCTGCTTGAGAAGGGGCAGCTGCTTCACTGGGGTCTCTTCATGGTCTCCAGGGAAAGCAGCAGGTTTTTTGGGGGGCAGTAGCAGGACTGGTTTGGCTGAAGGATCTTGGGACAGGAGGACTCCAGACTCACTGGCAGAGGGACTCTCTTCAGACACTGAGGGGACAACCACATGATACACAGGAGACATTACACAAACGCAGTGCAGGCGGGGCCAGCGGGGAACACAGGACAGGGACTCGGGCTGGCAACACAGCGGAGCACCGATGCTTCAGGCCGCCACGCATGTGTAGAGAGCTACAGCGAGGAGGCCAGAAATCCAGTGAAGCAGGAGGACAGAGAGAGGAGGCAGAGGAAGAGAGAGAGTGGAGGCGGGAAGAGCAACAGGGAGAAAGAGGAGGAGGATGTTTTCTCAAAACCATCAAACACTTGACCATTTCAAACTCAGCTTTGGTCATGCAAACCCTACACATGCTCTAAGATGGGACTCATGGGGCACAGCAGGAATCACCAGGGTGGCCAGTGCAGAAGGCCCAGGATGCAGAGCCCCTCTAAACCAAACCAGAACTGAATGCCAGCAGCCTCGCTGGGGCCTGCTTGCCCTTTGCTGAGGGGCAAGAGGGAGTGGATTCAAACAAGTGGAGGGGCTCAGTTTTGTCCACTGGGTCCGCTCTGTCTCTGCTCTCAAATCTGCGACACTGGGTACAGATGACAGCCTGGAACGCTGACACCTCATAGGCTGCACCCCAGGCACTGGACGGCTGCTCCTCCAGGTTCTGGAGTGCCCGGCGCTGAGCAGCAGCCTCTCAGCCCAAATTCTGTAGTTTTAGCAACAGCATCCTGCCCCCACCAGCTCCTGTAAACTTTGACGAGGCAAGGGATGCTTTAAATCAACCTTTTCATCTTCCCCTTTCCTCTCTCTTCTTGCTCACCACAACTATAGTTTTCTTTTATCAATTCCTCCATTTCTCTTTGCACTGCATTGGACGCGCCTCTTCCTTTCTTTCATGGGGGAACCCCTGACTGGCTTTCATGAAGAGTTGTCATTGGGTGGTGGCACACACCTTCCTATCATGCCGGTAGCTTGGCTGATGACAGATTGAAACTCTGTGATTCTGCTGGAATGACAGATTTTTACTATAACAGTCAAATCTATCTGACTTCAGTGTCACAAGGAAGTCTGGATTCTTTTTAAAAAAGCACTGCTTTCATTGGGAAACCCTCCCTGGGGTGGGAGGGTGTAACTCCACTGCATCTCCTCTCACCTCCCGCCACCGCCTCAGTGAGAAAGCCTGTAAGGGACTCCTCCCCTCCCCACCCTCCTTCCTCCTCCCTGATCAGGTGTTCTGTGCAGCACCAAAGCCCTGCTGAAAATCCTCATGAGCACTACATTCTCCTGCCTCAGGGACACTATTATTGTCAATGTGGCACACAGTGATGGAGCAATGACTCACCGGGTCCCATAACGAAGCATGGGAATTAACCCTGTGAAACCTCATCCCTCCCACCCTCCCACGTGACTGCCTATGGATGTGGATTTTGCACATGATGGGGAGAGAGGCCTTTCTATCTATACTCTGGATATTGCAAGAGGTTCCTTCTCCCAGACTCATCTCCTGACAAGTACCACTGCTCATTAGCTGTCAGGAGGGACCTATTTTGGGGCAAATTAGGACCGCTCTGCAAACCTTCTGAGAGGATGAGTATTGGCCACTCAGCCACCTTTGGACCAAAGAAGGAGATGACAGTCAGATGGCATCAAAAATCAGCTATCAGCAGGATACAATTCAATCAGTAAATTATATACAGTTTAATAGACAATTAAATTAATTGACTATATCCAGTAAATTGATACAAGTATTAACTGGCATACTGGGACTAAGACTAAAGGACCTTTCAGACAGACGAATTAGATAGGTATCATATAGAAATGTAGGATTCCTCAGCTTTATCTTAACAGAGATGAATGTTAAAAAACAAAATAATAATATTTTAAATCATTAATGTTACAAAAATAAGCCATATCATCTTTAAAGAGATTAAGGTAGTAAAGAGTTTTTTAAACACTGTAGGATAATAAGTGTAAGTATATTCCATTTTTAAAAATACTCAGTATGTACTAAAAACTAATCTGTTTCACTAAATTTCCAGATCCTTACGCTCAGGATAGTCCAAAATAGAATTCCAAGTCCAGCCAGGCCAAAGATCCCTGGTGCCTGGC
The DNA here is from genome assembly GCF_000001405.40 of Homo sapiens. Taxonomy (NCBI): domain Eukaryota; kingdom Metazoa; phylum Chordata; class Mammalia; order Primates; family Hominidae; genus Homo; species Homo sapiens. The sequence goes on along the minus strand of NC_000006.12, from coordinate 13,182,733 downwards.
TGGACTTGGTGTCTGGGACCTGCTCTACAATCCTGCCGGGGCATTACCTGGCCCATCCATGATGTCTGACGGTTGGAGCACCTCATATGAGCAGGGATCCCTGGGCATTGGGACTGGCTCCATTTCGGACAGGGCAGGCAGAGACAGCTGGCTGGAGCTCAGGGACTGCCCATTTTCTAGGGAGTCCTCTTCATTGGATATAGAGAGTTCCCCATCTGTCAGAGAGAAAAGGAGATTGCAGAGTTAGACAATGTCTGCCTTTCAAGAAAGAGTGGCACTTCCCGCCTGCTGAGTCTAGATGCTGCTGAACAATCAAGGTCAGCCTCTGAAACCAACATCTGTTATTTTGCTTTTAAGACATTTATTTCATCGTTAGAGATATGTTGTCTAATCATCAGGGCAAAAATTTCCAATGATCTTCAGCATTTTGCCTGTTTTCTCTGTGTCTTTCTAACCCGAATCCATCACGTTTTCTATGTATTATTATTATTACTTTTTTTGAGACAGAGTTTCACTCTTGTTGCCCAGGCTGGAGTGCAATGGCATGATCTTGGCTCACCACAACATCCGCCTCCCGGGTTCAAGCGATTCTCCTGCCTCAGCCTCCTGAGTAGCTGGGATTACAGGCACGTGCCACCACACCCGGCTAATTTTGTATTTTTATTAGAGATGGAGTTTCTCCATGTTGGTCAGGCTGGTCTCAAACTCCCAACCTCAGGTGATCCGCCCACCTGGGCCTCCCAAAGTGCTGGGATTACAGGCATAAGCCACCGCGCCCGGCCATTTTCTATGTATTTTTAAAAATAAAAAGTAAATTAAAATTATTTTTTTCTCATAATTTCTAAAAACTTGGGAAAAAACTCAGCAAGCCTCAGAGATTGGAAGACCAGGATTGGGAATTCCTACTTTAGGGAGCAAAGGGCTTCATGTCATTCAACACGCACCAAGGTCCTGTCTTCTGTTTGCCTCCACCCTGGTCCAATTTCTCTACTTGGATAAACTATTAGGACAGCTCTCATCTGCACCTAACAGGCTGCAGCCACTCAGCGATGCTGGGAAGTGCCAGAATTCTCCCGGTGCCGACCACCAATCACGCCACGTAGTGCAGACTTTGATGTTGCTTAAAGCTCAGCAAAACAAGGACCACGGTGCAGGATCAAAGGCTCCCATACAATGGCCATTTGTCAAATCACAATTCCCCCTGTGTGATTTCATCCTAGCCCAGGGGAGTCTTAGATAACTAGACATTAAAGTCAAATTAATTTTTAAAGAGGACTGAAAGCTGTTCCAGCGAGATGAATAAACACCAGATGAAAGACTAAGTTCTGCCGAGTCAGAAACAGAAACCAGCAGAGCAATTATCCGACTTAAAACCAGAAGCAAGATGACAACTCGTAGAAAAGAAACAGTTAAGTGACTCCAAGGTGATTCTTGGGTAAATAATCCTTTCCTTTTTGCTATGTTCCACCTCTAGTTTAATTTTATAAATCACTGATCTATGGTGGCACAGAATCCCTCCTTGGCCCACCCCCGCCCGATTAGAGTCCGTCCAGTGAATATCTGTTTAACAGAATAATCAACAAACCAACAGGCCTGAAACAGCATATGATTCAAGGGCATATGGTGTTTGACCTGAATCTTCTATAAGCATAGAAAAAATATAATGAATGCCAAAAAAAAATCATCTGAAGCGGACAGTGTAAAGCACCAGCATTTGAAGAGTGTGTTTTTTTTTCTTTTTTTAATTCCGCTTTTTTATATGCCCAAAATGGTAGTAAAAGTTATTATAATTGGGATCAATAATATGATGATTACTAATTAATAAGAAAGCAAAAGCAGTGCAGACTGTAAGCCCATGCAATGGAAATCACACAGATGAACTGGGAGTCTTTGGGATGGGAAGGGCTGAGCGTCAGTGTGTCGCTATCCCATCATGGATGCTCCCCAGTCTTCTTAACGTGCCTTTATTTAGCATGTTCAAACAGATGCCGTGGGAAGTAACTCTGTTTCAATTTCCCAGTTGGTGGAATAATGATGCAGCTGTCATTCAGCCTAACACATCTCTAGGAAACCGCTTTGATTCTTGATGTTCCAAAGTATAATAAAAGTGCTGGACGAGACAACCAGAGGGGACGGAGGTCTCAGGGCTCTTGCCAAGTTCTGCTTCTTTGGGGGAAGGATGCAATCAAATGATTGCCATACATTTTAACAGTTAAGAGTACCATAGAAGCAACATTAGAAAAAAGAGATGTAACTGCGGTTGGATGACTCTAGACTCTCTCCATGAATCCTGGGCTTGGCTGGTAACAGAGAAGCAATATTGCTTGCTCCTCTTGGGACATACTAACTCTTGAAAAATTGGGCTCTCTATAGATTAAAAGTAATGTGGCTAAATCACAAAGGCCCAAACCACTTTGGAGAGGAAATAAGCTTGGGAACTCCACTGTTATAATTGCTAAATACACATTTCCTTTGAAAAAGTAAAAACAGGAGAAGAAGGTGTAAGACACTAATCATATCACCACCCTACCTAACAGAAACAGTTTCCTCTTTTTGAACATGTTTTTCAAGATTGTAATCTTACTGTGTGCCAAGTTTTATAGCTTGCTTCCCCCATACTATTATAAGCATAACTATCATCTTAATGATTATACTGGATGACTATATATCAATATTTACTTGGCTAGCTCCCATTTGGTTGGTCACAAAGGGATAGACTTATGCTATTATGAAAAAAATGCAGTGAGGACCATCGTCTTGCATACAATTTTTCTGCAATTAGAATTCTCCCCCTTTAGGATAAATTCCAGTAAATGAAATTTTCATGTATTAATATTCCAATGTCTACTGACACATACATGGATCCTGTGAAATTGTTTTATTAAAGGATTTTCCAATTTACACAATTAGAAGAAATGTACAGACCATACACATATTTTAGCTTTTGGCAATTTCTTCAACATTAATATTGATAACCTTGTTCTGTCTATCTATCTATCTATCTATCTATCTATCTATCTATCTATCTATCTCTATCTACTTATCTATCTACCTACCTACCTACCTATCTTCCTACCTATCAACCACCCATCCATCCATATATGTGTATACATATCTAGTAGAAAGAAATGAAAACCATTCAATAAGTACAAATTCATTATTAATATCATTTATGACCAAGATGGGTAGCAATAAAAGTAAAAACTATTTTACTTGGATTCATTTAAGGATGGAGTAATACTGCCACTTTTAAGTAATATTTTAAATTTTTTATTATGACATTTTTAAACACACACACACACACACACACACACACACACACACACACGAAACATTAATGTAATGGGCTGTATATACCCATCATTAAGCTAAGGAATTATCTGGGAATTCCTAATGCTTGGTAATTCCAAGTGTTATGAATTTGAAGACTAGTCTCTCCATGTCCTGCTATTTATATATCAGTACTGGGTTTGTTGTTGTTGTTGTTGCTGTTTGTTTGAGACAGGGTCTCACTCTGTTGCCCAGGCTGGAGTGCAGTGGCATGAACATGGCTCACTGCAGCTTCCATCTCCCAGGCTCAAGTGATACTCTCACCTCAGCCCCCAGAGTAGCTGGGACCACAGGCCCACACCACCATGCCCCACTAATTTTTATATTTTTTGTAGAGACAGGGTTTTGCCATGTTGCCCAGCCTCATGTGGAACTCCTTGACTCAAGTGATCCACCCACCTCGGCCTCCCAAAGTGCTGGGATTACAGGTGGGAGCCACTGCACCCAGCCAATTGATAATGTTTATTAGCATCTTTACCAGCATTAAAAAATTCACATTATTAAAAAATTCTCCCCAGGAAGAACGTAACTTGCCTCACTAAGGTGAGGCTTAGGCATTATCTGTATCCCCATCTAGCTAGGTCATCACCATCTTGTTAGTGTGGATGAGACAGTGTTCACTGAGTGTTGGAAATTATGCTGATGTTTTACATGAACTTCTAAAGTCATCTGTGATAATGGCTTTGAAAAATGGTACACAATAACCTCCAATCATGAGCTGCTTCCTATTAGAATTAGTAAAATGCAAACAGCAGGAAGAAAGAAGGCAGGATGAGACATGGGTTAAGACAGTGGTTCTCAAACTGTAGCTGGCATAGCAACCCGCTGGAGGCTATTAAAAAACAGATTGCTGGGCTTCACCCCCAGAGCTTCTGACCCAGTAGTTTCTGGGTGAGACCCAAGAATGTGCACATCTAATAAGTCCTTGGGTGATGTTAGTGCTCCTTTTGCTGGTCAGGGTACCACGCTTTGAGAAAACACTGAATTAAGGATAAAGAGTAAAGGAGCCAAGAGAAACTGCAGTGTAATTGTGCCTCGTCCTGATGAGGTTTCCGGCAGGAAATGCTGGCTGTGTGGCTAACATGGGACAGACAGCATGAGGAAGCAGGAAGTTGTGTTGTCTAACCGTGGATCATGAATATGAATCTGACACAAAGGACAATGGGGCTGGAGAGAGCAGAAGGATGAAGTGGAAAAGAAAAATGTGTTTCAGAGGCAGACACGTCTAACAAGGTAGAAGCAGGTTACAGAAGCAGCAGAGAATAGTATGCAGATGTCAGTGTAGGTCAATGTCATAAGTCTTAAATCATGAGACATAGAAAGCAACGGATCTAAGATATAGAGCTGGCCACCAAGATTGTGCCAGCCTTACTCTCCTCTTCTGGTGAAGCATAAGAAACAAAGATGTTAGGAGAGTCAAAGTTAACACCAAATCAGAGAGAATGAATAAACTCATTCAATAGACAAACACCTGTTGATGACAACATGCATCATCTACCAGAAACCTCCAACCCCCGACAATGACCTCATGGAGAAGCCAGAGGTTTGCTGTTAGCTCATTATGATACTTGTAGAAACAACTGCTCAGTAGGCTGCTGCCAGGGCCCTGGAGCTTACCCATACCCCAGCCTGCCGCTCCTCCCATAAGTGAGGCATGAGGCAAACACCTCAAATGGACCTTGTCCAAGTGGCTTAAAAAAATGGTTTGTTGCTACATTATTGTTCTTCATTTGGCTTTAGGGACACCCCCTGGTTTTGGGGTGATCAATATCAACTTCTGTTCAATTACATTTTCTCAAATCCTCATGGTTAACCGAAGTTGTTTTTTATAGATGACTGTCACTATGGAGAATGGGTGACAGGAATTCTTTCAGGCTCTCATGGGTACCTATGTAACAAGAGTTTTATTTAGAAATAGATATAAAAATCTGATATGTATATATATATACACACACACACACATATATACACATACATACATATATGTGTGTGCATGTCTGTGTGTGTGTGTATATATATATAGAGAGAGAGAGAGAGAGCGCAAGAGAGAGACAGACAGACAGACAGAGAGTGTCTTGCTCTCAGAGTGTTGCTCCATCACCCAGGCTGGAGTGCAGACTTTACCTCCTAGGTTCAAGTGATCCTCTCACTTCAGCCTCCCAAGTAGCTGGGACTACAGGTGCACACTACCATGCCTGGATTTTTTTTTTTTTTTTTTTTTTTTTTTTTTTAGAGATGGGGTCTTGCTATTTTGCCAAGGCTGGTCTTGAACTCCTGGGCTCAAGTGATCCTCCTGCCTCGGCCTCCCAAAGTGCTGAAATTACAGGAATGAGCCACCATATCTGGTAAAATATTGTATGAAGGAAGGACATTTTATTCTGAAAAGGCTCAGGGTTCAGGACCCTCTGGAGTTTAGGATTTTTAAAAGTGTCAACTCTAATTCTGAAACACAAAAGTACATTAATAAATGTAAGCTCACCACTAAATCTGATTTTCTATGATATGAATTATGGTTCATATTTTTGAAAACCCATGTTTAAAATGTATCTCTAGTGAGCTAAGAAATCCTTATTTAATAAATAACCATTGAATATGACTATGAAGAATTGCTTTATATCTATATATTGAACCAATATGGCAATACATTTCACACAGATCCAAAAACTAAAAATAAAACTTTAAAACCAGAATAAAAATGTACGAAAAATAGAATAGTAGAAACAAATATATATTTATTTATTTATTCAGGTTGTTCAAGAGGGAAGCCAGATGGATAGTGCTGACTTCCTTATAGAACTTTCTGATTTTTAATTTGCAAAAGGAAATGTTGTACACCAAACAGAAGAACAAAAGCAGCACAATGGAAACATACGTGCTACACAGACCTAATAAAAGAACATACTCTTCCAAGTAGGAAGAGTGTTTGTTCTGGTAAATAAAAAATCAAGTCCCAGGTGCCACTTGTAAAATGCATAACCTTGCTAGGAATTAGAGAAATGCAAATGAAATGACCATGTGAGTGACGTGGATGCATGAGATGTGTTTGAAATAATGTCAAGCACAAAAGCAGGAATGGAGGACAGTATGCACATGTGGATTACAATGACATGAAAATGAAATATGAGTGCAGGTTGGCAAAGCTCTGAAGTGAATCTGGCATGATATAGAACTTAATGATCATTCACTTTTTTTCCCCTGCAAGATGCTTACATTTATTTTTAAAAATACAAAAAAATTGCATGCTGCCATGTTACACTAAAACAATAATAGCTTGGTTAGAGGGGAAACCCATTCCTCATTCCTCTGGTTTCTACATGGAGACGTTTTCCCCAGGGCTTCTGCTTGCCTACCCTCTTGCCCCTCTTAACTGCTGCTTCATTGCTGGGGTATAAGCACTGGCCCCTGTGTCTCCACTGGGGGAGCCAATCCATCCTTTCCCTCCTGCCCTGGACCCGTGTTGACTCCAGACTCAGACTTTCCCAGTTGGTGGGCTGATTTGAGGTCAAGGCTAGGGGAGGAGCATGATCAGACCCATCAACGACTTCCTCCAGCCCAGCTTTTGCCAGTGATAAAGGAGATCCCCTACTTCGATCTCCCATTTGTCTTATTTCTCACATGGTTCAGAAACTCAGAGACAGAAGATGGTTCAGAAATTCAGAGACAGAAGAAGAGTGCTAATAGAGGGCCCCTCAAATCCTTAACAGTCTGGAGACTCAAGGGAAGAGAATGCTTTTTCCGCCTCAGGTAAAAAGAAATCGAAGGAGGCACTGACAGGTGATAGAAAGAATGGTGTTAGAAACCATGCTCTCCTGGGGGACCTGCTAACCTCAGTTAACAGAGGTGTGCTGGTGAGCGCCTCTAATTTGTTCTCAGGAGAGACAGGTGGGGTGAAGCGCAGCTGCAATGGAAAGAAGCCCTGACTCAGAGCACAGGGAGAGCCCTGTTATCCTGGCCATCACTAGCTCTCAACAAGCCACTTAGCTTCTGGGGACCTTAGTGTCTGCCCCTTGAAAAGAAAAGGACTGTGTTGGATGATGCCTGACTTCCTTGCAGATCAAAGTATTCTCTGCATGAGGGCTGGAAGAGATGAGAAAAAGCGCCCCCACCCAAACTTGCAAATCATCCTGAAATATCAGATGAGCTAACACAGCACAGCATTTTATATTCAGGTTTTCTTTTTCTTGCCTGACATACGGTTTAGACCTATTACAGCAAGAACTAGAAAGTAAATGAATGAATTTCTGCTTTATTGTTGGCTAAACAAAGTTTTATATTTTTATTTTTTAAAAACTTGTAAGTAAAGTTTTCACATAGATCTAGAAATCTGTGCTCTACACAAAAAGGCTCTGTACACAGCAGAGAGACAGGGAGGAAGAAATGAAAGGAGAAAGAAACATTTCTGGAGCATCTTCGGTGTCCAGCATTATGTTGGACTTTTTATATATGATAGTAATAATAACAACCTCTGAAACAATATTTCAGAGAACTTACTATGTGCCAGGCTGTGTTTATTTTTTCCTTCCTTCCATCCATCCATCCTATGAAGTTAGTACCAAAATCACTCTCATTGTTTAGAGAAAAGTGAACATTAGAAAGTTAAATAACTTGTGTGAAGTCCCTAGCTCAGTAGATGCTGAGCTAGTACTATATGGTAAGAGAGAGGGAGGGGGAGAGAGAGAGAGAGAGAATGTATGTGATTTAATTTAAAATGGCTTACTTGGAAATTTTAATTCCTTAAGGATGGCAAGAACCACATAGAATCCTTTATAAATAAGACATGTAGTTGTGATTAACAAAACTCAAACTCTCTTAACTGTTAGTTCTTGTAGAAGAGAATAATGAACATCATGAAACCATGGCTACATTTATGCTTCCATTGTAAAGAAACATTATGTAAGTGAAGTGCCATGCGACAATTTTAGACCAAAAATCATAAGAAGAATTAACTACACTGCATCTTTGTTGGTAATGCAAATGTGTTGAATTTACACATGCATGCTTGCAAAAATTCAAACACATTTTAATTTACTGATGATCACCTATGGCTATAGTTAGCAAAATAAAGAAGTCAAGCCACCCTGTGTTAAAGCAAATAATTATCCTTGTGAAGACACAGAAGAGGAGGCTAACGCAAGCATTTGCTAATTGCCTTTTCTCTCTGAGACAAGAGCTGCTGTTCAGCATGTTCTGTGTTCCCATTTTAGCTTCCCAGACATGCCCTTTGTGCATCTCAAATGGAGAGTCTAAGGTGCTTCCCACACAAGTGTCATTCTGGTGTTAGTGGTCCTAACATTAGTGAGGCTGAAATAGAGACTTCGTCTTATGTACTTTTTTGACATTGATATATGTTTTCTATGTGAATAGAAAAAAAAAATCCACTCATTAAGGGGGCATAGCTATTGTTTTCAATGGAAAACGCTTGTTATCCCAGCACTTTAGGAGGCCGAGGCAGGTGAATCACGAGGTCAAGAGATCGAGACCATCCTGGCCAACATGGTGAAAACCCGTCTCTACAAAAAATACAAAAAATTAGCCGGGCGTTGTGGCGCATGCCTGTAATCCCAGCTACTTGGGAGCTGAGGCAGGAGAATCACCTGAACCCCGGAGGCAGAGGTTGCAGTGAGCCGAGATTGCGCCATTGCATTCCAGCCTGGGCAACAAGAGTGAAACTCCATCTAAACACCTCAGAGAGGTGTCGTTTTAGCAAGAAGATGCAGAGCTCTGAAAGCTTCTGTTAATCCCAACAACCTTTCAAATCACTGCAATCGAAGCTGCCAGTTGCCCCGATAGTCAGTAAAATGACGTAAAATGATGTGTTGAGTAACAGTTAACTAAGTAATAATTTATCTAAGGATTTCCTCGATGGATTAAAAGCTCTAAGCCTAAGAAGTTGGAAATGTTTCTGAGGCATTTGTCAATCTCTGTTGGAGATATTTTCTCCAGTTTGCCTGAGTTTAGGGAGTTCGTGTGATTACATGGTGCCATAGTTGTCATTTTAAGGAATTTTAAATGTAGAGCATAGAAGGCAATATATTCTTATTAAATGTTGCCTATTTACTAATGAGTGTGACTATCATTTGATGCTTGGGCATTTAAAAAGACTTGATAGTCTTACTTGGAAGAAGAAAAAAACAAAAAACGATTTAAGTTGGTGCAAAAGTAATTGCAATTTTTGTCATTACTTTTCATTAAAGCTGCAATTACATTTGTACCAACCAAATACATTAGTTCTTTGGCACTTTTGGACTTTTCCAAGTGAAGAAAAGTCATTTTGTTGTGTGTGTTTGTGTTTAAAAGTCTCTGTGCACTGTCAGGATTTGAGGCAGACACTACAGGGGACTGTAGGACCAGGGAACCTATATTTTCAGAATCTACAAGTCAGAGAATCTTCCAGTTTTTTTACCCCTACCTGCAGCCAAGTCTTTGGATTATTCTGACCAATATGCAAGAACAATCTGGCAAGAGCCGTGATGTTCTTTTCTGCCTCACGCAGGCATCTCACAAAATCCTTCTGAATCCAACTACCTTGAAAATCTGTGCAAAATTTATTTTCATTCTCAGAATTTAATTGATTCTGTGTTACTTGGAGTGGATATTTTCACACAAGGAATGAAATGGTACCTGTTTTTGTACTCAAAGAATCATCTTGCTTTTTGTTATTGTGGTTATTGTTCTGAGTTTATTATCCTATTTTGATTTTAATAGGCTTCTCCTTCTTGCTGAGAAGCCTTTGCCTAAAACATTAAATAGGTGAGATGCAATGACTTTCCATCACAAGAGTGGCAAAGACATTGACCCTGGGTAGCTTGTTTCAGCTGCACTTCCCTGGAGCTGTTTCCTGCTGGATTTATTAGTATTTGCTGCCTCTGACTGCACCTCATGGTCAATAAACCATGGCTCATGTGGAGTCTGGGCTGCTTCCCCTGCCTTCAGCCTCCTGGTAACCTGAGCGCCTCATTACATGGAATTGTGTGGTGCCTGTCTCCCGGGTATGGTTATACCTCCCCAGCAGTCTGCACGCCAAGTGCATGGTTTCTCAGATGATGTATCCTCATGAACTATCAGGGCTCTGACCACTATTTCCAAACAATGACTCTGGCTCCAAGGTTTGTAGCTGAAAGAGGAGTTACCATCTTGCTATTTCTGGGCATTTTGATATAAAAAATGCAACTGGGGCAGAGATTGAATATAAATGAACAGAATGTCACAGTTTCTCTCCTATGGAATCTGATAGTCTGAATCTCACAGAATCAGTCATTGTGAAAGGGGCCTCTTTCATCATTAATAGGGTAGCCCAACTGAGCCTAGCATCCAAGATTTTAGAAAAGGCTAGAGTTGACCGGGCGTGGTGGCTCACACCTGTAATCCTAGCATTTTGGGAGGCCAAGGTGAGCGGATCACCTGAGGTCAGGAGTTCAAGACCAGCCTGGCCAACACGGTGAAAACCCGTCTCTACAAAAAATACAAAAAATTAGCCGGGCATGGTGGCGCATGCCTGTAATCCCAGCTACTTGGGAGCTGAGGCAGGAGAATCACTTGAACCCCGGAGGCAGAGGTTGCAGTGAGCCGAGATTGCGCCATTGCATTACAGCCTGGGCAACAAGAGTGAAACTCCATCTAAAAAAAAAAATTGGCTAGAGCTGGGGGAGGGAAGTTATAGGGGATGGCCATTTCAAAATTTGCACAGCTCTGTTTCTCTAGCTGGGCTCTCAAATAGGGCATTCATTAGACACATGTAGTGGTGTTCAAGTTCGTTAAAATTGAACAAAATTCACAAAGCAGTTCCTCAATCAGAGTAACCACATTTTAAGTGCTCCACCACCACACGTAGCTAGAGGATACTGCATTGGCCGATGCAGATGACAGAATATTTCTGTTACTGTTGAAAGTTCTACTGGACAGCACCGCTCAAGGTAGACTTGAAAATCACAACCATGGGCCTTACATGTATGCAAAAGTCAATCCATTTCTGGAACAGAGAGGTTAAAATGATGCTGCTACACTGATCTCCACCATAATGAGTGTCTGGCTCAGTGTACTGTAGTCCTATTAGAGAAACTGCAGTTGTGGGAAACCTGGAGTGCTGGGATGGGGGATGAGCTCCAGGGCACACATGGACAGTGGGAGCCCTGAGAGCAGTGAGACAGAACTACAGAGGCACACATGGCCCTTGGAGGAGTCCTGAGCCTTCAGTGGATCTCGGCTCTACTTGGGCGGAAGTGGGGTGGGGTGGGGTGGGGACTGTGAAGAGGACTTGAGAAAAGCATGAAAGGAGAGCAGAAGAGCAGGGAGAACAGGTGGCTGGTGGAGACCATAGCTAACCTTGATCGAGTACCTGCTCTAAGCAGGTGATGACCTAACTTCCCACATTGGATTACGTCCTTTAAGCCCAAACGGGATTATGTCCTTTATGAGATGACAGGCAAGGGCCAGAATGGAGTTGAAGAGTTCATCATTCCATGGGAGGATGGAATGATTCCCAGAGACTCTAGGAGGATCACCCGGTTGGTAACAGACTGCCTTCAATCAAGCAGGCTTGGGCCTGGGAACAGTGAGAAGGGATCAAATGAAAGCATGGCCTTGCTGGCGGCAGCAGTCTAGGGTCCTGGGGTTATATTCAATCAGAAACCAGAGTCTAGAGAGATGAAAAGATGCCCTGTATCTTCCACAGACAGAACACGATGGAGCCAGAACTGGAAACCCTGGCTCAGGACTCCTGCAAGAGTACTGTTCTTTTAGACATTATGAATTGGGTGGCGTGCCCCATTGACTTGTCTAACTTTACACAAGTCTTGGGCAAAAGTATGAAATCTGGAACATTTTTCTAAGCTATTTCCAGCTTTTCCTTCATCAGCTACTAGACTCCCAAAGTTTGGCTGGCTTTCCAGTTATAAAGGTCAATGCATGTCAGTGGCTGGGGAGTAATAGAGCATTGGAAGGCCGGGGACATGTGGATGAGGCATTGATGCCCACTATGCCCCACGTACCCTGCCCTGCCATGAGTTCACAGGAGGGGTCCAGGTAAGCAGTTAGAAAGGGTGGTTTCATGGTGGATATTCCAATATGAATTTACATCATGCAGCAGCACTCAGGCAGGTGACTGTACTTGCAATACTTAAATTTATGGAAACATTTGTCAAAATTAGAGGAAAATATCTGATGGTTATCTGCGCAAATTTTCATCTATGAGACATGAGGGTAATCCTGAAAAACCTTTGGTGCAAAATTTTCTTGCTGTCATCAAGATACCAAGAAGATATAGCCTTCGTTTGTTCCCTGTACACTGTGGTATACGCATGTGATGTAGGAATTGCTGCAGCCATCTTGTCACCATGAGGAGTTACAGCCAGAGGATGGCATCCATTAGCCATGGTACACAGCTGATGAATGAACCAGCCCTGGAGCTGCCCTACAATTGGACTTTATTATGTGAGTTTCATTCTTTCACGCAATAAATATGAAATGAGCACCAACAAACTCTAAGATTGTTTGAGGCATTTGGGATACCTTAGAGGACAAACATACAAAAATTATTAGCCTGCAGACTTTCTAAATTTGCTTATTGTTTCAGTCTCTTTAACCTTTTTATTACCTGCATCTAGAGCATCTTAACTTACACCCTGCTGCCTGCATACTGGCTTCACAGGTAACTGAAGAATCTATATAATAGCATAAATGTAATCAAAAGGGCACTTTTATTCCTGATCTTTTTCTCATTCCTTGTCTTATTTGATGTGTCTGCATTTGACAGTGTGGGCCACTTTGTCCCCAGCTGAGCAACAGTCTCTTGTGTTGGCTTCCATAATGCTACACATTTTTGGTTGACCTCCTATTTTTTGACCACTTCTTAGTTTTTGAGGGTCCTTCTTACTCCTAGGTCATTTTTTTACTCCCCAAACATTAAATGTTGGGGTTCCATGGAGTTTTCTATCAGGGCCACCTTATTTTCCTACTCTACATTCTCTCTGAGAAATACCATCAATTTACATGACTACAGGATGTATACACTGACCAGTCCAAACCATCTCCAGCCCAGCCCAGCCCAGATCTCCCTTGAGTTTCATGTCTGTATACTTAGAGGTCTACTTAGATATTTGGATATCTGAGACTCAATGGGGACAAATCATCACAATGTTTTGTGTCCTAAACTCACTTCTCTCGGGATCCCAGCTCAGGGAATGGTCTACCCAGTCGCCCACGCCCAAATCCTGAGTCTCAGCACTGCCTACTCCCTTTCCTCACTTCCCCAAATCTAAGTGGTCACAAGTCCCTTTAGACCTCACCTCCTAGAACTCTCCAGTCTGTCCTCTCTTTTTCCCCATGCTTACTACCCTTTTCCCCACTACCCACCATCACATCCTCTGAATCCCAGCAACGGTCAGCTAGCTGGTATCCCTGATTCATGTCTTGCTCTCCTTGCAAGTCAGTCTCCCTGCAGGCAGTGTGATGAGGCTGCAAATCTGATTACGTGGAAAACCCTCCCAAAGCACCTCACTGTTCTCAAGATGAAGAATAAACAATGAACATAATTTTCCAGTCTGCATGATCTGTCCTGACTCCCCCTTTCCTTACAGACATGCTGGGCACTCTTACCCCTTCTCTTCATTTATTCCTGACTCCGTGCCTCCAACTGGACTGGTCCTTCAGCTTGTAACATTCCCTTACCCCTCCTATCTTCTCTAGCATGATTCTTACTCACCCCGCAGGGTTCCTCTAAGATACCACTCCTTCCAAGATGCCTTCCCTAAGTCCCCAGGCCTCGGCGGGTGATGCTTCCACATGCACCTGAAAATACTATCCTTTCTCCATTGTAACTGCCAAGCAGACTAAACCCGTCATCAGGACTGTAAGTTCTATCAGCCAGAGACGCCTGGCTTGGCCTTCCTAGTATTCCTGGTGCCCAGGATGGTGCCTGAAACACAACAGGCACTCACAGACATATAATGAATGAATACATTTATGTGGAACGCTTACTCACTACAATAATAATTATTATCTCACTAATTCTTTAGGTTTGGGATAGTGGTTTTCTGAAAGAACAGTGTTGCTTAAGAGAATTGTTATCACAATTGCTCTTTATTCTTATTGTTTAAACCACTTTCTAGCTGTCTTAATTTAACACCTTTACATTTTCAAAGGTGGATTTTGTTAAAAAAGCAAGTCCAAGTAAACCTATTGTATTAAGTGCTTAGGTGCTACACAAATGATTATAGGTTGTTGATGCTGAAAGTAAACACTCTTTTCATTTTCACATGGTTACTCCAAATCACAGCTTTCAGAAAATGCCATTTCTAGGTGAGACGTCAGAAACAGCTAAAAACATGACAAACAATAGTGCCTGGTAAAGGCTGTGAAAAGCATTTCCTATAAACGTCAAGATTTAGAAGTCTATGCACCTGGAATACCAGATAAACTATGGGATTTAAGAAGGCTCGAGTCTACATTTGTCTCCTCTAATACAGAGAAGAAGTTTTATTTTTATTTTTAAAATACGATGACCTTTTAATTTAAATATTGGGCTTTTTCATCTTGAATGTCAGAAGACGAAAAATGCGACCCCTGTGTAAAAGAGTTGTCCATTTCAGGAAGCTTCTGTTTGTGTTTATAATTAAAAATAACACCTTCCAACCTGATTAAGGTTGCTCCAACCTGATTAAGGAAAAAAACATACCTCAATGTACTTTATTACTTGCTGTGGCATGTTATCTCTAATTTCCAGCACACAATGGAAAGCAAAGTTGCTCACTGGCACACTGTCAGTTTTATTCTTTCCTTGCAGGATACATGCCCTCCTTATCTCTTTTCCCCTCCCTGTAGGATTACCTCTTCCCCCAGGTCTAGGTAGGACTGCAGTGGAAACTACTAGGTGAGCTGCGGCAGCTTCACTGATCTCACGGCAGGCTGCCACATTTAGGGTGTGGAATTGTCTAACATGCAGGGAAAATGTCATTTCATCGGATGGTAGAGAAGTGGTCTTCTTTTCCCTCCCCATCCTCCCAATAAAAGATACATCCACGTGAATTACACATACCCATACCATACAAAGTGAGTGACACTGTGGTAGAATTGAGGCTTCATAGAGAAATTCAGTGATGGAAATAGCACAATCACCACTGTTATCCCTAACATTCTACAAATACAGCATCATGTTTATTTGTAGAGATTACTTGCAACAGCCAGTAATAGCAATATTTATTAAGATTCTCAGATAACCAATGTGCATAGCCTTCCTGTGTCCCTATAAATCCCACATGAAGAACATATGATCTCAGCAGGGGTTTTAAGAGTTCACACTCACCGGCTGTGACTTAGGTTACATCAATAACCTTTCTGGGCTTCAGCTGCTTCCTGCCTACATTGGAATAATCAGTAGCTAGCCAGGTGACTTCGTGAGATCCTCGCCAAGTGTGAGAAATATTATCACTATTTTATTAATGACCAAACAATATACAGTTGCTCCTTGAATGACACAGGTTTGAGCTGCATAGGTCCATTCATATGTGAATTATTTTCAACCCAACACAGATTGAAAAACCTGTGTTTGGAGGGCTGATGTTCTGTATACATGGGTTTCACAGGGCTGACTATGGGACTGGAGGATGTGCGAAATTTGGTATGGGAGGTGGTTCTGGAACCAATCCCTTGCGTATACCTCGGGATGACTATACTATTGACTGACATTGCTATATTTTTCCCATACCACTTAAAGACACTATCTGAAAGTAGGGCATTTGGCATCCATGTATACAAATATATACATAATATAATATTACCTATTTAAATAACTGGCAATAAAGTTTTATGGACCATAAAACTGAATAAATAAGGGGGATCAGTGTTCTTAGTATTCTGGATTTCGCCGGTGCAGTGAATAAACCAAGTCATGTGAACATGCAGAAATTACCTCATGCCTGCATTCATTGCTTTCTATTCGCATTTGCTGAACATCAATTTTGTCCCAGGCACTGCTATAGACACTTGGGCTACAACAGGGAACAAATCAGACGAAGACCCCTGCCCTGCTTGGTGGAGCTTATGAAGTGAGGAGAGATAGGCAAGAAAAAATTAACATGATAAATACATAATTTACAGGCGTCTGAAGGTGGAAGGTGATAAGAGATAGAAGAAAAAAGGAAGAAGGAGGGTAAGGGGTCTAAGAACTTAGAGAAGGCGGCAGCAATTTTAAACTTGGTGGTCGCAGAGTAAGCTTCACTGGGAAGGTGACACCTCAGCCAAGGCTGGAAAGAGGAGCCAGCCATCTGGATATCTGGGGGAAGAGGCTTCTGGAAGAAGGCGCAGCCAACGCAAACCTCGAGGGCCAGGAAGCAGGGCTGAAGTGGCACCAGGGAAAGGGAGTTTGTAGGAGGGATGAAGAGAGTGAAAACGAAAGTTAGGGGTTGGAGGGCAGACCATGCAGGGCTTTACGCTGTTGTAGAAACCTGGAATTTCTGAGTGAAATGTGGAGCCACTGCAGGCTTTGAGCAGGCAGTGACAGGCTCTGATTTACAGGGTAATGAGAGAGAAGCAAATGCCACAGAGAGGCCTTTATTGAAAAGAAACATCCCGGGGCAATCTGAAGAACTTAAGGGCTCATGAATGAAGTTACAAGTTGCCTTAAAGTTGTAGTAGGACCAGGTTTCAGAATCTGGGTGCCCATGCCCCTGTTTGAGCCACTCGGTCACTTCGTTTAGGTCTCTGTGAAAATATCACCTCCCACAAGAGGTCCTCCATGATTGCATTGACCTAAAATCACAACCCCCTCCCCCTTCGCTTGACTTTATTTCCTTATCCTGCTGCTTCATTTTTCTTCAGAGCGCTCATCACTCCTTGGCAACAAATACTATATGTATTATTTCCTATTTCTGAGTAGAAGGTAAACTCTGAAATGGTAAGATTTTGCAATTGTGGTTATCACTGTAGCTCCATACCGAGGCAACTCCTTGGCACGGAGGGAGCACCTGGTGCCAATTTGTTGAATGAATAAATACATACATAGCCCGGGAGCCAAGGAGAACTTTGTTTAATTAAACTTTGTTTAGTTTGTTTAAATTAAGTTCAAATTTAAGCAAATAGGTCATAAGATTGAGGAATAAATAAAAATAAACTGTCGAACTATAGATTATTTTACACCATTAATTGGTTTAACATTTTTACTATTTATAGTGTTGGCAGTTCACCTTAACATTTAAGTTGTGTTCTTTATAAAACAATCATATTGTAGAAAATCAGGAAAATGAGAAAAAAAGAACCTATAATTTTCTGTCCATGCTACCATCACAACTAACATAATTTAAAATTTCCTTTTATGTGGTTTTCAAAGTGTGCTGCATTCTTACCTGGCCTCAATATATCTAGAGATCAAACTATTTCCTCTGATTTTAAAACTTTTATCTAAATCTCTGGATTGTAAAATTATGTGATTCAATATGGAAGCCAATAATAAAAAAAAAAGCTGTTGAATAACTATGCTCTTCTTGTCTAACACACTCTGTTAAATGAGGAATCTCTGTGCCGGTTCAGTCGACATTTGAGATTACTTTTCTTAGACCCAAGCTCTCATTTTGCCTGAATTAAATTCATTGACCAGTTTGGGATTTTAACCCATGAAGGAAAATGGAAAGAATTTTGAGAACTGTCAGAGTAATAAAACCTCATTAATTTTGTGTGTACTCTGCCCAAATAATTACGACTCTCAAATCACTAGTTTATTTTCATGGTTTCTATGAACAAGTGGGGCATTATCAGGCAAAATCAATAATGTAAAAAGCACTGGAAGGGAAAATCCTACCTACTAAAGACAAATTATCTTCCACCACATTAGTAGTATCGTGCACACAAACAGCATAACTGCGGCACAAACAGAGGTGGGGCCTGGAGGCTGCATGCAGGTGGACAGGCTGACACAGTCATTACAAATCAATGCGGCAGCTGTCAGGGTCCATGCATCGCTGGTGGAAACGATTTTGCTGCCGGTAACTAGCTAGAGTCATGTGCGCTAACACAAGGAGATGGTGCAAAATGAGGAATGACCAGCCAGGCAATATGGAATGATTGCTCCGAATCTATGAGATTTATCCTTGAAATGAACAACTTAAAAAAAGAAAGTCTCTTTGCCATTTGCCGTTCATCAGGTTGCGGCAATAAAATTCTATTTGCTTTACCCCCCGAATCTCAGATACAGGAAAAAGAATGATATTATAGAAAGGGAAGAACAAATGACAGGAAAATGACTTGCTTAGAGGCTAAGAGGAAAGCCAGGTGGAACCGAATTCGGATACAGAAGACCGGGTTCTCGGTGGACACTGACACGAAGGCCATTCTGAGGAGGTCACAGATCTTTGTACTTTTTAAATCCTCAGACAAAAGGGGACAGTGATGTCCACTCTTCTGAATTCTTGGGCCTGTTGATAGGGTCACCTAGGGTGAGGCACATAAAAGGTTTGAAGAAAATATAAAGGACAATGATGATGATGATGAGACTACCAACAATCACAGCATGTTAACCCTTATTGAGAATTTATAGATTGCTATAAAGTCACTGTTATAAAAAAGTCACTGTTCTATTTCATATGTGCTATCTCCTGTAATCCTCATCACAACATCACCCATACTTTCAGATAAAGCAAGAGAAGCACAGAGAAGTCAAGCAACTTGACTAAAGTTGCACAGCTAGTCAACAGTGGAACTAGAATTGAAACTGATTCCAGGGCTCATGCTCCTAACTGTAGATATACTATAATATGAGGCAATGAGATTAATATCCACAGAGATACAAAATGAGTGCTTTTATCAGAAAATCCCATAGAAAACACAAACCTATACACTACTATGTGCAACGAAGTTTTCATTTTAGCCTGTCTCTTCTTCTCCTCTTCCCAACATCCAAACAGTAAACATTTTTGAGCATCTAAACTATATCAGACATGATTTGGGGCTTGGGGAATCGCAGCCTCTGAGGCCCCTGCTCTCCTACAGTTTATGTGCTAGTGAGCAAAGTCAGTCAACAAACAACAGAAAGAACAGACAGTGATAAGTGCAAGGATCAAAGTAAAACAGGAAGTTGTGGTGACAAGTGACATGTGGGGACTAGACTGGTCCTTCCCTCTGCAATCACTTATTTATGTATGTATGTACAGATTTACTTATTTATTTCCTTTTTTGAGACAGAATCTTGCTCTGTTGCCCAGGCCAGAGTACAGTGTGCAATCTTGGCTCACTGCAACCTCCACCTCCTGGGTTCAAGTGATTCTCCTGCCTCAGCCTCCCAAGTAGCTGGGGCTACAGGCGCATGCCACCACACCCGACAAATTTTTGTACTTTTAGTAGAGACAGGGTTTCACCATGTTGGCCAGGCTGGTCTCGAACTCCTGACCTCAAGCGATCCACCGCCTTGGCCTCCCAAAGTGCTGGGATTACAGGCGTGAGACACCGAGCCCGGCCCGCAGCCACTTACTGAGTGCAGGTCCTGTGTCAGCTCCATGTGTGCTGATGGAGAAAGAAGCAAGTGTGACAGAGGCACAGCGCCTGCTCTCAGGGAACTCCTAACTGTTGGTGAGGACTTGGGGCACCAACAGTCTGGAGTTCCTTGAGAGCAGCCTAAGGGACCCTCCAGTCTCAGGGATCCTGTTTCTTTCCCTATCAAATGAGGCTTTTGCTCCAACAGTTTGTGACTTCTTTTTATAAGTCAGGAAGCCACTTAGGCAATTCTTATCTTAACCCAGTTATTAGATGTAACGGAAATAATAAATGCTACTGTACATGTATTCTCTACTTCAGAATATTCCTGAGGGAGAAGAGGGATTGTTTAAGTGGATCTGAACAAGTTTTGGCTGTAACAATAATATTTATTTAAGCACTCGGGTGCTTATTATATAATATTATACCTTTAGTTAAACATTTTCCATCTCTCCTGGGGGGTGAATATGGGGAAAGGAGCTTATGATGAAGCATGGAGATTTAAAGTTAGAACAAGGGAGGGGCCGGGCGCGGTGGCTCACACCTGTAATCCCAGCACTTTGGGAGGCGGAGACGGGTGGATCACCTGAGGTCAGGAGTTTGAGACCAGCCTGGCCAATGTGGTGAAACCCCATCTCTACTTAAAAAACAAACAAACAAACAAACAAACAAAAAAACAAAAGTAGCCGTGCATGGTGGTGCGCACCTGTGGTCCCAGCTACTCAAGAGGCTGAGGCAGGAGATCCACTGGAACCCAGGAGGCGGAGGTTGCAGTGAGCTAAGATCCTGCCATTGCACTCCAGCCTGGGCGACAGAGGGAGGCTCTGTCTCAAAACAACAACAACAACAACAACAAAACAAGGGAGGGTTGGGGGATCATACAGGCAGCAAGACATTGAAGAAATGCAAGAAAAGTATGGATTCTTTTCCTGGAGAGCTTAATCCATCAAAAAAGTGGTATGCTGGTATGGTCATACACAGAAATCGATGGATAAAGCTGGCTTACCATAGGGCTTGCTTGACCCCAGGAGGTTCTGATAATGACAGAACGTAGTTTGGAATCATGCACCTTCACATTCTGCCTCCATTATGCCTTGCCACCAGGGCAGGGCAAGAGCTAGGCCACTTTTCTCTTGCATTTCAGGCTAGTAATTTGTGCTAAGAGAAAATACTTCAAAAGTACCACGGGGAAGGCCCATGACAAGAATGAAGGAGGTCAGATTCACCAGAGGAATAAGAACCAACCCACAAAACAGTGGAGTCTGAAAGATGCGCCAGAACCCAGAAGTACCACCTGCCTCGTTGTAGTAGAACACACGAGGCATGTAGAAGACCTACAAAAACACAGCAAATGGACTGCGTCGGCAGATTACAGGACCACTTTGACTATCAGGACAGATTGTTAAAGTAGAATATTATGTGATTTAATAATCTGGCCCACCAGATAACACCTGCATGAAACAATCAGAAGACCTGACATAGAAAATCACTGTTGATGATTTTAACAAGATTGGAAGTGACAGTCTGTTATTTCACTTAAAGCGCTAACAGAGGGAGTGTGGTCCTCAGAGTGAGAGAAAGAGATAAGAGGGAGAGGAGGGAGGAGGAAGAAGAGGAAGGAGGAGCAAGAAGAGAAGGTGCACGCATGCAAGTTCAATTGAAAATTGCAAAGGCCGGGCGCGGTGGCTCACGCCTGTAATCCCAGCACTTTGGGAGGCTGAGGTGGGAAGATTGTTGAGCCCAGGAGTTTGAGACCAGCCTGGGCAACATAGTGGGACCCTGTCTGCACAAAAATACAAAAATTGGCCAGGTGTGGTGATACACACCTGTGGTCTCAGCTACTCAGGAGGCTGAGGCGAGAGGATCCCTTGAGGCTGGGAGGTCAAGGCTGCAGTGAGCCGTGATTGCATCACTGCACTCCAGCCTGGGCAACAGAGCAAGAACCTGTCTCCAAAATATATACATAATAAACTAAAATACCATAAAGCTCTTAGAAAAGAGGAGTGAAGGATACTTCATATGCCATGTAGTTCACTGCATACGTTCATATTCAAAGGCAATAATTCAATAAGCAAAGGACACGTGGTATTCACCAGCAAATATCTGTGGACACATTCACAGAGCATTTGAAGCACCATAATATTATCATTTCCAATATCTTAAATGTACAGTCATATATCACAAATTTATCTCCTTCAATTTATTCTATTGTGGCAAGATGGACCACCAAAAGCAAACAAACAAACAAACAAAAACAAGTTAAGGAAATCCTAGATGAGTATGGATTTCTCACACTTGTCTTGGGAATACTTAGTTGCTGAAAGGGCCTAAACAGGTGACTGCACCCTGGTCGTGTGTATTTGCATGCCAACAGACTCACAACCAGTGCCTGCATCATTCCCGGGGCCACATCATTTTGCTTAGCCTCCTGTGGTTTGATTCCAATGCTCAGAAAAGGGAGTTTTATTTCCTTCGTCTCATATGATGCTGACAGCTTCAGCACTGTCTGCTATGTTCTCTTTTCTCTCTAGAACTGTCTGGAGTTTTAATGGTTCAAATCCTGATATCTGGTGATGCAGAAAATGAAATGGAACTCCAAGCAATATGCATGCAGATTCCACGCATGACTCTTTGACCCGGGGATGACAGACCAATCCTCCTTACCTTTATCATAGATTTCCTTCAGGACTCCTCGCTTTATCAGCTCTTCTCTGCTTTGCCTCATAGATATTTTCCTTTCCAGGGCTACAAACAAAAGACAAACAGGGAGGCAGATGTGAGTAGGTAACAAAGTTGTCTTCTAAAGGATCCTATGTTAACACATATGGCAATGTAACATACGAGAAAGCTTCTGTAAATCGTGCTTTGCTAATGTGAGCTAATGAGACATACCAGTTAATATGTTTTGATACTATCATAATAAACCTTTTAATCAGATGATGTCATTTAAGCTTCCAAATAATCTTCAAATTACCACCTATGACAGGGTAGGCATTCTTTTTTTTTTCTGAGACAGAGTCTCACTCTGTTGCCCAGGCTGGAGTACAGTGGCGCGATCTCAGCTCACTGCAACCCCTGCCTCCCAGGTTCAAGCGATTCTCCTGCCTTAGCCTCTTGAGTAGCTGGGACTACAGGCACATGCCACCACACACAGCTAATTTTTGTATTTTTAGTAGAGACGGGGTTTCATGGTTTGAGCCAGGATGGTCTTGATCTCCTGACCTCGTGATCCACTTGCCTTGGCCTCCCAAAGGGCTGGGATTACAGGGGTAAGCCACTGTGCCCAGCCAAGGTAGGCGTTCTTATTTAATTGAACCCCAATTTATGGTTGAACCTGTAGCACAGAAAAGCTCAACAACTTGTCAGAGTCACATCGCTATTGAGTAAAGGAACTGGGATTCAATGCTAGAAATGCCACCTTGGATGTCAGCCAAACCTCATGTCTTACTGAACTTTCCTGAACATGGTACTTCCTCCCAGGAGGGACTGCTGTTTCAATGATCTAGTTCATAGAGATCATGCCTCACTGAGGATTCTGTTGCTTTCCAACTATTTTAAAAAATGGTGTGAAAATATCTTCTGAGAAGTTCTCTGGTGTGGCCTCCCAAGGTCCGGAGGTGATACTGTCTAAAGGTAGGGGTGGCTTCCATGGCACGGCCCCTCCACTGCCTTCTTCTCTTAGGCTCCAAGCTGGAACAGCCAAATGGAGAAGGAACCATTCAGTTACCCAGTGCACCTCCACCATGGCCCCACCATGCACCTAGGTCAAGTGCTTGGGAAGGTGGCAGCGGGGCTGGAGGAAGGAAGAGGTAACAGTGGGTGTGCTGGGGGGCAAATCAAGTAGAAACAACCCAGGAGTGAGGAAATGAGGGGCTGCCCAAGAGGCAGGCCTGTGGCTCAAAGGAGGGACACAGGCGAACGTGGGGAGGAAAGAAGGCTATTCCAGCAGCTGGCGCAGTCTCCGGTACACACTGACTCAACCTCCACAGCCTTTGAAAACATATTCAGGGGAAAATCATCAGCTTTAAAATAAGGAAACTACTTTATGCAGACAAATTCAGATACAGATTAATTAAACACACACTGCCCTCAACGGAATTTAGTCCAAAGAATATGAAGAAGAACTAGAAAGAAAGCAAGCAACAAGGATTGTGGTTCTAACTCTGCCACCCTCTAAGCTATGGGACATGAGTCGAGTGACCTTAGTCAAGTCACTTTGCCACACTGGGAAAACACTGATGCCTCAGCCCAGCCATTCCAATTTCATAGGTCCGGGGTGGGACCAGGACATCTCCATTGTGATAAAAAAGCTCTCTGGGTTATTTTCAGGCATGACTCGGCTGAGAATCACTAATTATATATTTTGGAACTTACTATTTTAAAAATGTTACGTTCTAGCTCCCTCTCTGAAATTACAATGAATTAAGTGATATGAGGGAGAAAAATAAATGTTAGGTTAGAATGCACTCACGTAGAGCTGACAGAGAACATATTAATCCTAAAATAGAGACATAAATCTGTACCCACAGAAGTGACGGCAGGAGGGCTATATGGGAGGACAAGGGGGAAAGCTGGGTGCAGGAAACATGGAAACAGTGTTTGTGTGGGGGTTCAAGAGTTTTATTTGTCAAACCAGATGACATTATATGGTGGCAGGAAGGCAAAAAGATGTTCTATTCAGAGCTTGGGGAAGGGCTGGAGAAGGGACAGGGAATTGCATGCAGTTAGGTTAGAAAGTTCTGCCTGATTTGAAAAGATCTGCTAAGCAGCCGGGCGCGGGGGTTCACACCTATAATCCCAGCACTTTGGGAGGCCGAGGTGTGTGGATCATTTGAGGTCAGGAGTTTGAGACCAGCCTGGTCAACATGGTGAAACCCCATCTCTACTAAAAATACAAAAATTAGTTGGGCGTGGTGGCGCATGCTTGTAGTCCCAGCTACTTGGGAGGCTGAGACAGGAGGATTGCTTGAACCCGGGAGGCAGAGGTTGCAGTGAGCGAGATTGTGCCACTGCACTCCAGCCTGGGCAACCCACGGAGACTCTGTCTCAAAAAAAGAAAAGAAAAGAAAAGAAAAGATCTGCTAAGCAGCACAGCAGCACAGCGGAAGAAGACTGGACAGGTAAGGTGAAGCAGGGGGGCTTTAAGTACGGGGTTTGTTACAGATGTTTGGGTGACAAAAAGCCATCCGAATATAAAGAGATGCTTTCCCCTTCTGTACTTAACCGCATAAATAAAACGGATTTCTCTTAAACAAAATGAGGTTTCCTAGGTGTTGTAAACCACAGACTAAAGTGGAGAGACCTGGTCTACAGCGCTAAAGGAAGATCTGCAATGAGGTGAGCAGAACCCTGGACTTGGAGGTCCAAGATCCTGAGCTATTAAGAGAAATGTGGATGTTCTCAGGCTAAGCACTCAGCCATCTGGACATCAGCTGTCACTCAACAACTGTGGATCTGCTGTCCATGGTCAAAGGCACCGGCTGGGGCTGGAAATAATGGTGACCAAAGAGACAGCCATCGCCGTGATAGAGTTTACAGACTCATGTGACATTCAGACCATCATCAAATGATGATATTACTTAATGTGTGATCACAAGTTAAGATCAGTCCTCCTTAAGAAAAGGGACAAGTTCCTATCAGAGCATATGGTAAATATTGTCCCTGATTGGGGTGTTGGAAAAGGCTTTTCTGAAGAAGAGATCTTTGAGCTGAGGGGGGCTGGGTAGGGGCCAAGGGAAATGCTCCAGATAGAGCAGCCTGCTCTAGATGGAGAAATCATGGTTCCAGGAAGGAACAGAAAGAAAGCTGGTGTGGCTGCAGCTGCCAGCATCAGATGAAGAATGTTTGAGATGGGGTAGGAGGCTGGGCCATGAAAGGCCTCATGGACCATGTTATTCTAAGAGCAATGGGAAGAAATGAACAGCTTTGAGAATATGAAAGATGAACATTCACTTTAATATAGAGAATGGATTGGAAAGAGGCCAATGACTAGGTGATTACAGGCATCTAGGCAGGGGATGATGGTAGCTGAAATGAAGATGCTGTTGACAGTGACAAAAGATGCACCCAAGACGTGTGAAGGTGGCAATGTAGACACAACTAGATGTTAAAGCTTGGACAGGGATATGCAGGAAAGAGAAAGGCCAAGGAGGATACCTTGGTTCTTGACTGCATAACTCAATGGACGGTGCTGTCCATGACTAAGGCAGGGAATACGGGGTGAGAATCGGGGTTGGAGGATGCATGACAAGTTCGATGCTAGCCACATCCAAGAGACGTTATCAAGCATGTGCTAGGGAAATGCAGTTGGATACTTCATCAAACAGACATGGGAAGTTAAATGAGAATGTGCTACGTGGCACAGACTATGCCAGATGCTTTCACGCACCAGTGCTTCTCAAACTTTTCCATGGAAACATTCCTTATGACACAGGGAGAATACTAGGGGCTCCAAGTGTATGACTCAAAGTTGCCCATGCCAAGCATTAAAGAAAGTACATTTCTTTAACGTCCTAAGTTTCCTTTAAAAGTAAATGTAGAAATCACATAATATATCTGTTTTAGTTTAAATAAGAAAATACTCCTGCTCCATCACCACCAATTTCCAAGTTAAAGTGACATGCTGGAAAGAGATGGCTTATTTCTTCTATGGCTTTGTCCATTCCTGGTATAGAACCCTGAGCCCACAGCGAATGCACAGATTATTTTGAGAAGCATGAAAAATTGTTACTTAACTTAATCTTCACCACAATCCTGTAAAGTATAATCATTCCCAATTTACAAGGAGGTACCTGAGGCCTAGCAAAATGAACTTACTCAGAGTACCACAGCTGTAAGTGGAAGGGCAGAAAGAGATTTTAATGCTCTTCCCTTTTTCTCCATGACGCAACATCATTGTGAGAATGATTATAATGTATAGGAAAACAAAAAGGCTCTAAAAACAGAAGGCAATCTGATTTGAGTTTACTTGGGTTGAAAGTCATAGTAAAGTGACATAATTCCACTTTACTCTCAGGAGCTTCTTTCTTCCCTGTAAGGAAATCTTCAGGTTTTTTTTTTTTGAGAGGGAGTCCTGCTCTGTCACCCAGGCTGGAGTGCAGAGGCATGGTCATGGCTCACTCCAACCTCTGCCTCCTGGGTTCAAGTGATTCTCCTGCCTCAGCCTCTCCAGTAGCTGGGATTACAGGCGCCTGCTGCCACTCCTGGCTAATTTTTGTATTTTTAGTAGAGACGGGGTTTCACCATGTTGGCCAGGCTGGTCTCGAACTCCTGACCTCATGATCTGCCCGCCTTGGCCTCCCAAAGTGCTAGGATTACAGGCGTGAGCCACTGTGCCCAGCCAGGAACTCTTCTCTTCTTACCATCTCTCTTAACAAGGTATGCATGACACCTCTCTTCTGGTTTTACTTTAAGCAGCTCTTCCAAAGTCGGAGCTAAGTTTCAGTGGGGTCAAAGTGTTCTGCAGCAGGCAGGTGTATGCACACTTACCCCCCATGTCTGAGGAAGCTGAGAGGACAAAGAAAAGCTGAGAAATTAATCTTCTGAATTTGTACTAGGGACTCACAAACAGAAGCCAGGGCTGGGTCTTGGGCAGCAGTGAGATGAGATAGTGGATCCCCAGGCCATTATTCTCCCAGACCCAGGGCTTATATACTATATGGAAAGGGTCTGCATGATTGAAAAGAAAGTGTAGGACAACCGAAGCATGGTAACATTAAGGTTGTTTTGACCTAAGGGCAGCACTTACGGTAAGTACATGCTCTTGCACAAAGAACAGTAGATAAATTGGAAATCTCAGAGGCCTTCTAAGACCTGGGGTTAATCAGAAGCCAACATGGTGGATTAGCATCCAAGATGAAGTTGCTTTAACTTTTACACTAGGACAAGCTCAACACTGCTCCAGGAAGTAAAATACTGTGGGTTGACTGGTGCAAAGGGACAACCATTGGACCTGGTTTATGACTGACCCGTAAAACACAGCGGGAAATGGGGTTGATATGGGGAAAAAAGAAAATACAATGGTTTCCCTTCTCACAAACTGGGTATGGTCTGACCCTCCTTCCTCAATAATTTTGGCTTTGGGTAGAACAAACATGAAAAAGGAAGAAAAAAGAAGGAATTATGAAAAGTTAAAGAATTTAGAAGAAGAGGAGTGAGCCACCGAGAAAGGGAGAAGGTGTGATGTGTCATGTACCAGCCCGACGGATGGCAGGGATAAGATAAATCAGCTAAATGAGAACCGAGGTGTGAGGGTGAGCTGACTGCCTGGGAGTATTTGGTCTTTGGGAGGTAGAAAATGAAAGTGAACAGAACAAAGCAATCCATCCCTTTAAGCAAACATCTGTATTTCTAGAGGTGCTGGAAAAGCATGAGAGCAGATATTATTTTTATATAAAAAAATAAAGTCAGAAGGACTTATTTTAAAACAAGAAAACCTATTCTCAAATCCAAAAATCACTCTGATATTATACAGTTATTAAAATACACGGCAGGCTGGGCACGATGGCTCAAGCTTATAATCTCAGCACTTTGGGAGGTTGAGGTGGGCCTCACTTGAGGTCAGGAGTTCAAGATCAGCCTAGCCAACATGGTGAAACCCCATTTCTACTAAAAATACAAAAATTAGCCAGGCGTGGTGGCCTGTAATCACAGCTTACTCAGGAGGGTGAGGCAGGAAAATTACTTGAACCCAGGAGGTGGAGGTTGCTGTGAGCTGAGATTGCACCACTACACTCCAGCCTGGGCAACAGAGTGAGACTCCATCTCAAAAAACAAAATAAAATAAAATAAAATACAGGGCAGTATAAAATCCAAGTGTCCACACGAGGGGATGCTTCAGTGTAAACCATTTGGTTATAAAACTGGATTGCAGTGATGGCTGCACAACCCTTTAAATTTACTGAAATCATTTACTGAAATATACTTACAATGGGTTCATTTTATGGTATGTAAATTATACCTCAATAAAGTTGTTAAAGAAAAATGCCTGTAATAGCAAAAGCATTAGTTAAAAAAATGAAAATAGTAAATCTAAGCAGACTAAGAAATTAATAAACTTTAGGTCACAAAAAGCTAGGAGGCCAACATTAAAATTGAAAAATTAGAAATATAGCATATAAAGGTAAATTTCTTTTCAGCAATGTTTTAAACCTCTAACACCTAATTGATCAGTAGAACCAAAACAGAAAAATCCGGAGTCTAGTTCTCCCCAAAATGAATATGTGGCTTAGAAGGTGGCCAAGGCAACTCCCTGATCTTTAGAAAATAACCAAATTTCCAGCCTGCAGTCAATGCAGAAAACCATCAGAGGCTTTACAATGTGATGCTGGCAACTGAAACACCAAAAGAGAACTACATAAACCAGCAAAGGTGCAAAGACTACTTCTAGAAACATCTAGTCTACAATTCAAAACCAACATATGAGAAGCCTGAAGACAGAAAGCAAAAAAGCAAATTGTGCTTTGCTTTTATAGACCAACAATGTTAGCTGACAAGATCCAGACATGTAAAAAAAGAGATTTCGCATATCTCACTTGCCTGAAATATGACTGGAAGAATGATTTCTCAATTAGAGTGCCAAACATAGCCAAAAATGGCCCCAAGAAACTGTATTTAAAGGTTGGCATGTCCAAGGAAGGCTCTCTAAACTTGCCTTCAAACTCTGCCTTAATATAAAAACTAGGCATGAAACCTCAAAAGGCATGGCTATTCTTGCATCTTTACCACTGTGTATTCACCATGCACTTTTATTCTGTATTACTGATGCTCTGACACCTCGGAGCCTTGCCGACCCTGGATGGACTGCCTCTCCTGTGGCTGGCTGATTCCCAGAGAGAGTGAATAGAATTCTTTGAATGTGCCTTTCACATCCAAATGAATCTATTCAGAGCCCACAGTCCTGACCACCTCCTTTAATGAGCTAGTACATTCCCAGTCGCTGTGCACCTGTCCTCAGCACTCCAGGGCCGGTACTAGATGACTAGAGACCACCCCTATGTGACAGAGCCCACTGAAAGTGTTCCTGCTGGCCAATCCTAAGCCTGCTTATTCTGTCTTGCCTGTTCCTTCCCATGGAAACCACAAACAAGGCTCACGCCCACATTTTCCTCCCATACCTCCCCCTGTGTGGCCCTGCTTGGGTGGCATGCCCCTTGCTCTTGGGATTTGGGAGTAAAACAATCTTTTCAATGGCAGTTGTCTTCTTATCTGTTGGCCTCACCATACCTGAAGAATAATAAAATCTCCAGTTTAAAACACACCAATCTTTGCACTAGTTTGTAAAGAAGGAAAAAACAGGAAAACTAGGGAAATTCTCACAGCTTTCTGTTCCACTTTGTTGTTCTAAAATCTGTCTGTATGTGAGCCAGTACTTTAGAAATGAGCAGTCTGGAGATAAAGGACCAAAGACCACCTCTACTAACAGTGACAGTAGTTCTAGTTTAGTCATTTTTTAAACTCCTCTTCTGAGCCACCATGTCAGTCTATGCTGTATTTACGAAAGCCAGTTCCCCATGATACCTCCTTAATGTATTTTCCCAGTCTCCCTTTCCATATGAATTTGTGATGAGCCAGGGAATCCTATGCCTCTTTGACATTGATGAATTTTTTTTTTTTTGAGACGGAGTCTTGCTCTGTTGCCCAGGCTGGAGTGCAATGGCTCGATCTTGACACACTGCCACCTCCACCTCCCAGGTTTAAGCCTTTCTCCTGCCTCAGCCTCCCAAGTAGCTGGGACTACAGGCACCCACCACCACGCCTGGCTAATTTTTTGTATTTTTAGTAGAGACATGGTTTCACCATGTTGGCTAGGCTGGTCTCAAACTCCTGACTTCAGATGATCCGCCCACCTCTACCTCCCAGAGTGCTGGGATGATAGGTGTGAGCCACTGCGCCCAGCCTGACATTGATGAATTTAAAATAAGCATCTTGGATGGGCTCATTCTCCTTGGTGGAATACCTAGGTTAGATGAATTTGTTAAAAATAGGGCATTTAAAAAAATGTCTTGCACATACACACACACACACACTTATTTATAAAAATAATACATGAAAATATTTTACTGTAAAAAACTCAAGAAATCAAGAGAAAACAGTCCTTTTCACTTTCTCTCCCTCCATAGGCTAACTCATCAAATCCACTACTGCCTCCATCTTTTTCCCCGCCTCTCCCCTGCAACAGTCATACCTTCCCAGACCATATACAAATACCATTTTAAAAACATAAATGAAATCATTCTATGCATGTTGTTCTACAAGTCTTTTTCTTCCTCTAACTTATCAAATGGTTCCATAGCTCTTCCCACCTCATTCTTTTTGAGTACTGCATGCCATTTCATGGGATGTAGGTACTATGATTTATTTAACCAGCCTGCAGCTGAAGGCAAGTTAAGTTGTTCCCACATTGTGGCATACAAACATCGCTACTGTGTTCATACTTGTTCAGGCACTCATGTAAACATGTATAAGGATTTTTCTAGAATATATAGCTAGATGTACAATTTCTGGGCCGGGTATTTTCTATGTGCTCCCAGTACTGATGGAAGAAAGAAACTCTTATGTTCCATGACTTTTAAGTATTGATGAAGTAAAGATGAAGAAGTTGGAGAAAAAGCAATATTGATGTTAGAACAAGTCATTTGGTCCTGCTCAGATTACCAGAGCAGAAACTTATTTAGATTTCTCTCCAGGACAATCTATCTCTGTTGAATTCTCTGCTCAACTGCCTTTAAATTACATTCTGAAGGGAATAGAAAGTTGAAGGGGGAAAAGCAATTGAGAAATGATGAAATTTGTGGTAGCTTACTGCTGAGTAGTTTACTTGCAAGTCAAATCTATAGCTTTTATCCTTTGTAAATCTTACAACTCCAGTAAAAGGAACTTTTTAGGCTAGAAATCTACAAGTGACAAATGCAATGAGCCTCCAGAACCTAGAACATGCCTCCACTTCCCATCTGGCTTCATGAGTAATGAGAATTATTCATATGATACAATAACTGCAGCCTAGAAAGACTCAAAACATAATAATCAACCCACGTATTAGTGTGATGCAACACCTATAGCCTAGAAGGATTCCAAATGAAACAATCAATCCACATTTATGCTATCTCTAGAGAAAAATGCTTTCTTAAGATAAAGAGATGTTTCAAAATTAAGTTTATATAAACAATATATAAAAGAGGAGAAAGGGGAGCAATGAGAAAAACCTAGTGGTCTTCCATTTCAAAAGACCAGGTGGCAAATATCAGTTCATCTTTTATGTCATAAGGAAGTTAATGAGAAAATAAATAAGGTTGTCAATCTAATGATATGTTGAAAATGGAAAGGAATGTAAAAAAGAAAAAAGAATGCAACTCTGAATGTCTAATTTTAGACAACATGATATGCTAAACATATTCAATAAAAAGTCATATTAATCTAGAGGCAATTTGTATGAGTACCACATATTGGGTCTTTCACTACCTCAGGTACCATGAATATCTAAACATTTTGCCAGTAACCCAGTTATTACTAGGTAAGAGGGTTTTCAATTACTTGATAATCCAAGGAAAGCTTATCGAATCACTAATTCAAAATGAAAGAAAATTTATTATTATTATTATTATTTTCTGAGGCAGAGTCTCACTCTGTTGCCAAGGCTGGAATGCAGTGGTGCAATCTTGGCTCACTGGAAACTCCACCTGCCAGGCTTAAGTGATCCTCCCACCTCAGCCTCCCAAGTTGCTGGGACAGGCATGCGGTACCACACCAGGCTAACTTGTATTTTCTGTAGAGGTGGGGTTTCGCCATGTTGCCCAGGCTAGTCTCGAACTCCTGGGCTCAAATGATCTGCCTGCCTCGGCCTTCCAAACTGTTGGGATTACAGGTGTGAGCCACTGTGCCCAGCCAGAAAATTCTTTTTATATTTGGCAACTAAGGCCAAGTGATCCTCAAAAGCAGAGAGAGGCAGGTCAGTTTAGAACTTTTTTCCTCTCTAAAAATCCAAACCACATGGAACTTCTATCTAAATCAGGGATGTCCAATCCTTTGTCTTCCCTGGGTCACATTACAAGAATTGTCTTGAGCCACATATAAAATACACTAACACTAACAATAGTTGATGAGCTAAAAAAAAAAAAAATCGCAAAAAAAAATCTCGTAACTTTTTAAGAAAGTTTACGAATTTGTGTTGGACTGCATTCAAAGCTGTCTTGGGCTGCATGTGGCCCAGGGGCTGCAGGTTGGACAAGCTTGAAATCTGAGGGCTCACTGTCCTTGTTGCAAGACAATAAGCATAGATCCTGATCTCTGCTCTCTGTTAGCCCCTCCCCCATGATCACAGTAGGAACTTTAGCAGAGTCGACGTGAACAAAATCCCTCATTTCCAACACAGACGCCCAACCACTCTACTTGTGTAAACCTGCACAGTGAGCCTGGATAAATTCTTCATGGCCCATGAGGTACGAGATGAGACTTTATTTACTATGGTTTGCAATTATATCCAAGTCATCTACATCAGCACTTTCTAAAGTCTGTTTTTGCAGAATAGTAACCCACAGAGATGCTCTGAGAAAAGGGTTCTGTGCACAAATAATTTTGGGAAATGCCATGTACTGCTGGAGAATCACCATGTTCATTAGCACACTGAAGGCCCTGAGAAGACTTGGAATAAAGGAAGCAGTGTAACTCAGTTTCACCGTTCCTCCCCAGTTCGTTGGACAATATGACCCTTTTATGGAGTACCATGGGGCTGGTGCTCTGAGAAAAAGCCTCTGGGAGATGCTGATCTAAATACCAGATTGCAGAAAGCAAATGAGGTGTTCTGTTGTAAAAAGGCACCAGGGAGGTCAGCTCGCTCAGCAGGGGCCGTGCTCTTTCATCAAATGTTCTGGTAAACATTCAAATGTTCTGGTAAACATTTGAAACAAACACAACCGAAAACCCTAAGTCCAGCAATATCAAGTTAGGAAGACATGATGACCTGGAAGATCCTAATAGATCAGAATGACCAACCG
Organism: Homo sapiens; assembly: GCF_000001405.40. Classification (NCBI taxonomy): domain Eukaryota; kingdom Metazoa; phylum Chordata; class Mammalia; order Primates; family Hominidae; genus Homo; species Homo sapiens. The sequence goes on along the minus strand of NC_000006.12, from coordinate 13,148,957 downwards.
TCTACCTACCTGCACTCCTGTGGTCTTGGTAGAAACTTCAGTCAGTAGAGACCTGCATTCCAATGAGCTCCCTTGGCTGGGCCAGCCCTCATGTGCATTCCCCTAATAAAGAAAGCTATAGACTTCCTGAAGAAGCTCAAGCAGCCCAGTACTACAGAGTATCTCCTCAAGATAACAATTTTGGTTTTGATTTCATTTCTATTAGGCTTGTCTTCTGAAAATAATTCAGATAGCATACTTTCCTCTGGAGTGATACAGTATGAGGTAGACCATGTCATTAACACAGAGGAGCCTACTTGTTTTCCTCTTGACTATGGGATAAGTACCTGAAGTCAGGTCCTATGGGAGCTCTGTTAACTGAGTAGGTATATGTGAAAAAAAAGGAAGGAAACAGCCTCATTTTCAGCATGCTGTCAAAAGTGCATTCTTCATGAATTTTGATTGGATCTTAGTTTGAACAAACCAGCTGTTGAAGCATTTTGGGGTCAGCTAGGTAAATATGAATATGAACTGGGTATTAGATCATATTAGGGAATTATAATTAGTTTTGCTACATATAATGGTCTTGGATTACACAGAACACTTTCCTTATTTTTTTTGGAGATGTATGATTACAGACGTCTGTAATTTACATTAAAACACTTCAGAAGGAAAAAGCAATTGATATAGGCAAATCTTAGTCATGTGATGGCAATGCAATTATAGCATATATAGTTATATCATTATACAATTCTCTCAACTTCTCTTATGTTTGCAAATTTTCAAAAAAAAAAAAAACCAGTAAACACACAAATGAATCTTACAAGCCATGCTGAGTGAAAAAAAAAACAAGGCAAAAGAACACATATACTATGGTTCCATTTATATAAAGTTCAAAAACCAGAAAAACTCAATATATGGTTTAGAGAAATGTATCTCTAAGCTTTAGAACTACAAAGCAAAGGAAGGCTATGATTACAATAAAATATCAGGACAGTGGCTACCTCTGGTGGGGAGGGGAATTACAATTAGAAAGGTACATTAAGGGGCTTCCAGGTGCTGGCAATATTTACTTTTTTTGACTTGGGCAGTGGTTACACGGTGTTCACTTTATGACCAACTGTTAAACTGTATATTGATGCTTAACCCACTTTCTCAATTTATATTTTATTTCCCACATAAAAAAAATTAAACGACATTGTTACTAACTCTGCTTCTTTGTACTATTGCAATAGTTTCTGAGGGGGAATAAAACACTCAGTCATCATATAATGAAATCATGCAGCTGGCCAGTAAACTAACTCCTGTTAATGAAAGAAAGGGTGGTTATAAGGCAATAAATGCCACAATAAGTCTTTTCCTGGTCATTTCTTCAAATAGGTCAGACAAGAGTGCAGAAGGTTGCTCTTAACAAACACTTGCTTAGTCTCTTTCCAAGTCTCCAGAGAGCAAGACGGAAACTTGAAGTATTGGGGGAAGAAAGCCAGCAGAAAGTTTTAGAGGTGAGTAATTTTACAGAAGTAAGGATTCTGAATTTGGAAAATAGGATTGACTATCCTTGAAGACCATGTTTAAAGTGACAAGTCAGAAGCAACTGAGAGAAGATAGCTTTGCAAGGACCAGGCTGCATATTCTTGGGAGTGCACCGAGGAAAATTTATGTTACAACTTACAGATTCCATTTTCTATCTCTCTGCACCAACCTGCACAGGGAACTTCAAATCAAATTCGAACAGAATAAATATCAGTTGTCTTTTCTGAGAATTATGAGAAATAATTCCGTCTCCATTTATTGGTCCCTTATTATGGGAACGTGGTAAAACATGACTTGATAAAACTAAGATCTGAAAAATAAACTATGTTAAGCCCCACGTACAACCTTCACTTTGTCCTTTCACATATATATCACCTATTAGGACAGACTTTTTCATTAAATGTGAAACAGGTGACCCTGCAGTGAAAGAGAATGTCATGTGATGAAAGTGTTGATGTTAGACACAAACGCTCAATGCTCTGGGGCTTGCTTGTATTACTTGTAAGAGGGTGTATCATAACATCTAATTTTTTTGTGATTGTGCTCAGATCCACAATTCACATTTCCACCCTGTTCTCTGCTGCCTTTAACACTCCCCCCAGGAATAAAAAGAAAATTCATTGATTCAGAGCTAGTGAAGTGGGTTTCTCCTTCCAGATGTAGGAAGTATAATGGTGTACTGTATTTCATTCCAGACACCTAATTATTATTGATCGCTTTATGATAGAAGTGTATTGCCCAAAGCACTGAAGAATGGAAATCTGAAATCCTGCCCAGAACGGCTTAATATCCCAGCTACCACCTGTTACCTAAAAGATAATAGCACCCTTGTTCAAAGTGTTTTGTGGTGCCAAGTTAATGGAAATAAGCTTGCCTGCTTGGCGGCTTGCTTTTTGACTCATGGTTGGATCAACCCTGCTGCAATGAAATCTTCAGAAGACAGTGTTAAGATAGTCAGGTTTTACATTCTTACTGCTTTGACTTTTTATCAGACAGAGAAAGACAGCAGTGTTAGATTGAGGGTTTTTGGTTGTTCTTATTATCTATGGTTAGAAGAAAGTTAGCTAATAATTTTGAACCAAAATTTAAAAAATCATAACTATGCATAGCTATGTCAGATGTCTATCCAGACAAATATTTTGCCTGAAGGGGACATTTTGTGTGAAGACTTGATTTCTCCCCATTATCACCATGGTAACACTTATTATGTATTAGGAACCATGCACTCTGTGCTTTCCACATAGTACTTTATGTAGTAAGTCTTACAACAACTCTGAGAGGTTGGCACTATTATCCACACGACAGATAAAGAAGATGTTACATGACCTGCCCAAGTTGCAGAGCTGCACTTGAACCCAAGCCATGGGATTCCATTGTGAGAACACTTAAGGATGACATTATCACTGCCTTTTTAAGCCTTACAAGCTAGGGATATGGCCCACAGTTTGTCAAGCAGATCTGCAAATGAACAAACTTGTACAGATAGGCTTTCGTGTATATACAGAAGAACTAAAGATACAATATTTTGCTCTCTCCTAGGCAGAATTTTGGCTTGATATATTAGTCTGCAAGGGCTGCCATGACAAAACACTATAGACCGGCTTAAACAACAGGAATTTGTTTTCTCACAGTTTTAAAGACCAGAGGTCCAAGATAAAGATCTTGACCCTTTTGGCTTCTGATGAGGGCTCACTTCCTGGCTTGCGGATGGCTGCCTTCTTGCTGTGTGTTCACGAGGCCTTTCCTTGGTTCGTGTGCTCAGAGAAAGAGAGCTCTCTGGTGTCTCTTCTTGCAAGGACGTTAATTCTATCAGATCAGGGATCCACATTTATAACCTCATTTAACTTTAGTTACTTCCTTACACCAAATACAGCCACGTGTGGGTTAGGGCTCCAACATATGAATTTGGTGGTGGGGCGGGCACAAACATTCAGTCTATAACATTTATAAACTGTGATCACTTCTTAAATCATTTTTATTAAGTTTAGCAGTTAATTGTCATTGAATGAGATTTCACATATGAAGACCAAGCACATTGCCTTAAACATAAAACTCAATCAGCTGTGACTGTTATTATTAGCACTCTCCTACTTTAGGAAAAAATTAAACTATTCAGAGGAAATAAGTCACAAATGTATAATTTAACTTTCTTCTTGTATACATATATGATAAGGTAATACCCATATTTAGGAAGGCAAATATTTGCTCAGCTACTTCTCAAGAGTCATTTCAGGTGGTGAGAACTACACAGGGAAGAAATGTGCAGATTTTCTGTTGATTCTGATGCCTATCCTTGAAATACTGAGCTATAACAAGACTTTTATACCAAAGCAGAATAGACATGCTCACGGAGGATATGCACAATAACTGCTTCTTAAAAATAGATAACCAATTGATTAAGCATCATTTATTTTACAGAGCCTATTTCATTGCAACAGTAATTTTTTCCTTGAATTAGATGTTTATATATGTTTGAATTGAAATCTAGGCACTTTCTTATTTTCTACTTGTATCTTTGCCTATCCTGCACCTGTACTACATTGTTCTAATCACTGTAGCCTCATCATTAGACTGAACATCTAGTAGTATACATCCTTTAACTTGGTTCTTCAATTGCTCTTACCATTCTTGGTCCTTTGAATTTCCACACATACTTTTTTTTTTTTTTTTTTTCTGAGACAGGGTCTCAGTCTGTTGCCCAGGCTGGAGTACAGTGGAGTGGCATGATCATGGCTCACTGCAGCCTCCACTTCCCGGGCTCAGGCAATCTTCCCACCTCAGCCTCCCAAGCAGCTGGGACTACAGTCATGTGCCACCACATTTGGCTAATTCACACATATTTTAGAATCAGTTTGTCAATTTTCATAAAAAAACCTATTGGGGTTTTTATTAGAATTACACTGAATCTTGAGATCAATTTAGGGAGGACTGGCATCTTTACAATATTGAGTCTTCTAGTCCATGAATATGCTCCATCTCTTCATTTTATTTTTATGTGACTAAAAACAGGATTTAAAAATTATTTTCAATATGTGTTGCTGGTATATAGCAATACAATTTATTTTTATATATTGACCTTGTATCCAGAGATCTTGCTAAATTCATTTAGTTCTAATAGTTTATGAGTAGATTTTATTGTATCTTGTAGGTACATAATTATGTCATTCACAAATAATGGTTTTATTTATTGCTTTCAATCTTTAAACCTTTATTACCTTCTCGTCCTTTATTGCTCTGGCTAGGTCTTCTAGTGTCATGCTGAACAGAAGAGGTGAAAACAGTCCATCTTTTCTTATTCTAATTTCAGGAGAATATCCTTCATTATTTCACAATTAAGTTTGTTATCTACTGTGAGTTTTCTTCTTAGTTTTTGTAAATAACTTATATCAGAATTTAGAAGTTCCCTTCTATTTCTACCTTCCTTCAAGTTTTAAGAATGAATGTAAAATTTTATTAAATTTTATCTGCACCTATGAATTGATCATAAGATATTCCCCTTTATTCTGCTAACAGTATAAATAATATTGGTTGAGTTTGAATATTACAAAAACTACGCATTCACAGGACCAATCCAACTTTAACTGTGACATATTATCCTTTTAAATATATCATCAGATTCAATTTCCTAATATTTTATATAAATTTTTTATGTTTATATAATGAGAGATATTGGCCTGTAATTTTTCTGTCTTATGGTATCATTACCATGTTATGGAATCCAATTTATGCTAGTCTTTTAAAACAAGTTGGGAAGTCTTTCCTCATTTTATTTTTTAATTTATATTTATTTTTATCACTCAAGTGTTTGAGCACCAGGGGTAGCAGTATCACTTGAAGGTTTACTTTAAAATGCAAATTTCCACAATTGAAAATGTAAAAACATTTTTTAAAATGCAGAATCTCAGGCCCCAGCCCAGAACTACTGAATCAGTATCTGTGTTCCAACAAGATCCCCAGGAGATATCTGCACACACAGTTCGAGAAGAAAACGATTTATATATCTTTTTAAATTTTAAGTTTTTGTGGATAAATAGTAGTTGTATATATTTATGGGATATGTGGGATGTTTTGATATAGGCATGCAATGTGTAATGATCACATCAGAGTAAATGGGTATCTATCACCTCAAGCATTTATCCTTTGAGTTACAAACCATCCAGTTATACTTTTAGTTATTTTTAAATGTAAGATTAAATTATTATTGACTATAGTCACCCTGTTGTGCTAGCAAATGCTAGTTCTTATTCATTTTCAACTATTTTTTTGTACCCATTAACCATCTCCACTTCCCTTCCTTTCTACCCTCAACTACCCTTCCCAGCCTCTGGTAACCATCATTCTATCATCTAACTCCATGAGTTCAATTGTTGAAATTTTTAGCTCTCCAAAATAAGTGAGAACATGTGAAGTGTGTCTTTCTGTGCTGGGCACTTTCCTCTTTTTATATTATCTAGAGTCAGTTTGTGTAAAACTAATATTATTTCATTATTAAATATCCGGGAGACTTCATTAATGAAGGAAGCTGGGCCTAAAGTTTTCTTTTGGCAAGGTTTTTAATTACCAATACAATTTGTTCATTAGGTATAGTAGTCGTGTTTTCTTTTTTTTTTCACACTTCTCAATTTTAGTATTTACTACAAAGCCACAGTAATCAAGACAGTATGGTACTGGCATAAAAACAGGCATAGAGATGAATGGAATAGAATCGAGAATCCAGAAATAAACTCTCATATTATGGTCAATTGATTTTTGACAAGGGTACTGAGAAAATTCAAAGGGGAAAAATAGAACTTTTTAAACAAATGGTATCAGGACAACTGAATATCCTCATGCAAAATAATGAAATTGGACCCCTACCTTACATTATATTAAAAAATCAAGTGAAAATGAATCACAGACCTAAACAGTAGAGCAAAAACTATAAACTTCTCACAAGAAACAGGTGTAAATCTTCATGACCCTGGATTAGGCAATGGCTTTTTAGATATGACACCTAAAGGACAAGTACATACACATACCCAAAGTAAAACTATTGGATTCTCGGCCAGATGCGGTGGCTCACACCTGTAATCCTAGCACTTTGGGAGGCCGAGGCAGGTGGATCACTAGAGGTCAGGAGTTCAAGACCAGCCTGGCCAACTTGGTGAAACCCTGTCTGTACCAAAAAATACAAAAATTAGCCAGGTGTGGTGGCGCATGCCTGTAGTCCCAGCTACTGGGGAGGCTGAGTCAGGAGAATTGCTTGAACCCAGGAGGCAGACAGTAGTTGTGTTTTCTATTTCTTCTTTTTTCTTCTTAAATTTCTTTCAACTGCTTTTATTTTAATTGAATAATGAAACCTTCAACCTTAATGTCCAAGTAATTTAGAAATGTGCTTTCCCGTTCTGCACACTAAGCACATTGTGTTTTGTTCAGCCTCAGCCCTCTCCCCTTGCATGGCAAGACGTTTCAACCAGAAGCAGGGTCTGGGTTTAGCTGGATTGCACCCCAGCATTTATCACTTAATGATAAAAATAGTGTGGAAAATATCCATTATCCTCAAATAGGGGCAATGAATTATTCTTCTGTATTTGGGAAAAATCAACCTTTAGTAACTGCATACTATCATGGAAAAAAACAATCCCAGAATATTTAAGTGGCAGGTTTGAGAATCAAATGTTTACCCTAACTGCAATTGAAAAAAGCTGAAAAACAAGCACAACAAAAAAAAAAAAAAAAAAAGAAAGAAGAAATCTAAACATGTGTGGAATAAAGAAAATAGAGAAGAAAGGTCTAAAAGCACAGTGCTACTCAAAGCTCTAGTTGAAGCGTTCTTGATCTTACAGAACGCCATCATCCTCACGGTAATGACAAGGCAGCGAGACAGGGCAGGAAGCACACTGCTTCCTTAAATGAGCACCCAGACTTCTCCACTAGTTTTTTGTGACTGCAACTTCTGATTTTGTTTTTGACGAGTATTTTTACACTTATTTTGAAATAAATGTCACACGCATAGTGGAAGCTGACGAACAGGCAATCCTTAATTCACAAATAAAAATAGCAGACATCATTTTCTTTCATTTGTTTGAGTCAGGTTCTTTAGGACATCATGAATGGAGCTTTGTTCCATAATATTGTCCAGCAATTTCTTAGTTCTAGAGACTGACCCCCAGTTGATTTGAGTTGGGTTGATCTGAGTAAAGGTCTGAGCCAAGGCAGCAATTTAGAATTCAAATTCTGCTTCTTAGTACAATCTTGGCTGGAGTTAGGGAGGGGATAAAGGATTTGGCCATGGGGCTGATGGGAACCCAGCTGATCTCAATGGTGTTCAAAGGCAAATGCAAACTGTCAAACCCATTTTCTTTTTCTTTCTGGCATACTCATAAAAGGGACTCTGCTGGTCCTCACCATTGGGTTACTAGAAACTCTTGCCCGAGGTTATATTCTACACAATATTATAGGAACAAGTGATGAAAACAGATCAATCAACTTGATTTGATTTCTCCCCTCATTAAAACATCCTGTCACTTGACAGAGCTAAATAGATAAATTAATTTCTGTGAAACCATGAAGATAGAGGCTAAATAGAAAGTTTGTCTGGACTCTGTCATGCATTATATCAAAACTATTAGTTCCATGGTACTGACAGCTTCATTTTTTACAAACATTTTGGTAGACTATAAATAAGAAAATTTATCATCTTAACCATTTATAAGTGCACAGTTCAGCAGTGTTAAATAGATTCACATCATTGTGCAACCATCTCCAGAACTTTTTCAACTTGTAAAACGAAAACTTTGTATTCACCAAACAGTAACTCCTCATTCCCCTACAACCCAGGCCCTGGCAACCACCATTCTACTTCCTGTCTCCATGAGCTTGGCTATGATAGGTGTCTCATTAAGTGGAATCATACAGTATTTGTCTTTTTTGTGACTGGCTTATTTCATTTAATACAATGTCCTCGAGGGTCATCCGTGCTATACAATGTGTCAGAATTTCCTTTCTTTTTTAATGATGAGTAATACTCCATTGTATATATAGGCCACTTTTTAAAATCCATTCATCTGTCAATAGACACTTGGGTTGCTTCCACCTCTTGGCTTTGGTGAACAATGCTGCTATGTACATGGATATGCATCTCTCTCTCCGAGATACTGTTTTCAATTATTTTGGATATATACCCAGAAGTGGAATTGCTGGGTTATATGGTAATTCCATTTTTAATTTTTTGAGGAAATGCCTCACTGCTTTCCAGAGCAGCTGCACCATTTTGATTAGCAACAGTATACAAGGGTTCAAATTTCTCCACATCCTCATCAATATTTGTTATTATCTGTGTTTTTAACCATCCTAGGGATATGAAGTGATCACTTAGTTTTAATATGTCAAAATTCAGAGAGAGGAAGATCATGAGAATCTAACATTACATATATTTGGCTGTGAGCTTAAATACTTTTAAAAGTTGCCCTTTCTTCACCTCAGAGCACAGAAACAATAATATTACAAACTAAAGTCCTCCTTTGACCCTTTTGGATTATAAGACTTTTGAATTCTCTGCAAAGGGAAAGTGGAGATGAATTTTGTCAAAAGCATGAGTAAGTTAGGAGGAAGGGTTGCATTTTTTTTTTCCAGAAAAGGAAATGAAGGTTTTTATTATTGTGGTTTTATTTTTAATTTCAAAATAGAGACTTAGCCACAAATTTCTTTATAATTAATGAAGAACAGTAGCTTTGCTGAAATTATTTATATCTTCCTCTGTTGTGTGTGATGAAAGTCTTTAATTATGTGAGCCAATCAAAGTTTCTAGTTAATGAGGAAACCTGCTTAGCTTAGCTTGGTATGTAACTTGACTTGACCTCTGTCTTTGAAGCTTCACTGGGGCTTGAAACAATGCTGTTCTTTCAAGTTCAGTTCCTCAAATGAAAGTTTTTTGGGAATACAAAGGTACAATATGAGTTCTGTAAGCCTTCCAGTTCAAGCAGATTCCAATAGACAGAAAATATAAATACAACGGAAAAAACAATTTGTGAATAAATAGAGCAGGTGTTGGCAAACTTTTTGTGAAGAGGACCAAACAGCTGATACTTAAGGCTTTGCAGGTCACACTGTCTCTGTGGAAATGACTCAATTCATCTGTAGCAGCTGCAGACAGTATGCAAATGGATGTATGTGGCTGCGTTCCAATAAAACTTTATTTACAAAAATATGCAGTGGGATGGATTTGGCCTATGGGTCATAGTTTGTTAACCCCTGTTGTAGAAGACCCAAAGGAAAGAACTTTGAAAATTGGGGTCTTTTTTCAAAAGTAGAAGAGGAACAAGCTTTCAAACTCTGGGCAAAAAAAAAAAAAGGCAAATAGCAAAATTAACCCTCTTGATATGATTTCTCTAACTAAGTATAAAACTGTGGCTTTCATGTAAAAAAAAATTATTTCATGGCTCCATGTCATGTTCAAGCTTCTGATCCTTGATCTAAAGAAGCTCAAGATGGATGAAAATCAACGTAAGCTTATATGTGAAACCCTAAGTCCTAACTCTTCCTTGCAAGATCATATTTAACTTGACAAACAAGAAAATGTCAGGAGACAGCCAGGAAGTGCATCCTTAAACAGAAGTCACTCAACAAATGCTTTTTGGTATATAAGGAAACAACATTTTCCTCATGAACATACAATCGAAGGCTCCAAGGTCACCACTGGAAGGAAATGCACCTAGTTAGTGGGTGGCTGGGCCAAGGTGCCTCTGACAACCACTCATTTTCCCCTTTGAGTTTCTCCCAAGGTGGTGACAAAGACTCTCTCCTTGAACAAACTTGAGACAGTTCCTCTGAGGTCTCTTTCCAACTAGGCTTCAACCTTGGCCTGTAAGAACTACAACATTCAGTACAAATGATTTCACCCACTTTTCAACACTAAGGGACTTGAACAAACACTACCACAGTTTCTAGCAGCTCAAAGCCATGTCCCTAGGAAGATAATCCCAGTAACCTTAAAATGCCTGCCTGAGAAGGTTCAACACCACCAAAAATATTTGCTGTTTGTTCTAATCAACACTTGAAAATAGACCCCTAAATTCCCTTTTCTTGGAGCATTTACTTTAGAAAGCTTACAATTGTAAATCCTTTCTCTGGGCCTTTGAGATGTACATGTATCTTCTACAACCCAGGAACGTCTTTCCAGAGACCTGGGAGCCATCTCTTTGACATGTAATCATTGAGAAGTATTAAGCCCCCATCTTCCAGTCTCTGGGGGAGGCTAGGAACCTAATTTCAATAAGCACCAGTTAGCACACACAGATGGCCTCATCACATCCCTTAAGGCCCTTCAGTATGTTTCCTTTAGTAGCTCCCAGTGCTTATGAGGACTCCTACATTTTAGTTTCCATAAAGTTGAGCTCAGTATACACTGGGGTCTCTCTCCTACTGCAGAAGTACTGGAGAAAATCCATCTCACTGCCTTTAATTAGCATCTGGCTTTCTTTCTCTTTGACAATGGTTGCTGTTCCATGCTGCCTTCAGGGGAAACTGCTCTATCTTTAATGCTCAGGACACAAGAGGGTGAGAATTCTCTCCCCTTATTTTCCTTAGCATGTCTTGAGATATAGCACCATTCCTATTCCAGGAGGCCCAAGCCGACTTTCTGAATAAGGTTTTACAGGTGAGCCCAACAGACATATTTTTCTCTTCTACCAAGAGCTTGTCCTCTCAGTTTTGTATTTCTGGAGAAACAAGACTCTCTCCCTAGTGAATGATGCCAGCAATGGCCTCAATCATTTCCATTCCCAGCGCACAAATGCATGGGTCACCTGTGCAGCATGAACACATCTTAGCATGAAAACAGTTGCATGGGATTCAAACAACAGGAACTGCTAAACATAGAAACTTGAATGTTATTTAATCTTTATTTTAGATAACAGAGGACAGAAAACGGTACATAGATGAATTAATTCAAATAGTTTAACTTTCAAAAATTCCATTCTGAATGTAGAATTTCTGAATTAAGTTGACATTTCCAAAACCAGTTCAGTTATTCATTTATTCTATCACCACATACCGAGTTTCTTCATAGTTAAGACATTGGAATAGGTTTAGGTAATAGGCACATTCCATTAACTCAATGCCTAGGTACATCTTGAAAAATTACTTTTTATGTTCTATAAAAAGAAAAACAGAGCAGAAACAACCAAACCAAAACCAAATGCCTCCTGTTTCTAGGCTTTGAAAAGATCCTTGCATATTCTGGGAAGAAAAGACTGTTCATTGATTAACTCAAGCTGCCTTAGTGACTAATTTGCCCCAATGCTCTCCAAACATAGCTTTTCCCCCATAACAAAATACAAGCGTACCTTGTCTTAGTGCTTAGAAGACAGCATTTTATACAAATTGAAAGCTGAAAGCTGGTGACAACTCTGGATTGAGCAAGTCTATCGGCACCATTTGTTCAACAGCATGTGCTTACTTTGGGTCTCTGTGTCACATTTTGATAATTCTTGCAATTTTTCACACTTTTCATCATCATTAGGTCTGTTATGGTGATCTGTAATTATGGCGATCTGATCTTTGATGTTACTATTGTAATCGTTTTGAGGTGCCACAAATCACACCCATATAAGACAGTGAACTTAATTGATAAATGAAGTGTGTGTTCTGACTGTTCCATTGAGCTGCCATTTCCTATCTTTCTCCCTCTCCTCAGGCCTCCCTATTCCCTGAGACACAACAATATTGAAACTGGGCCAGTTAACAACCCTACAAAGATCTCTAAATGCTCAAGTGAAAGGAGGAGTCGCATTATCTTTCATATTAAATCAAAAACTAGAAATGATTAAGCTTAGTGAGGAAGCATGTCGAAAGGTGAGACAGGCCAAAAGCCAGGGCTTCTTTCGCCAGTTGGCTAACTGGCCAAAGTGCTACTTCAGTGAATACATGAATGATAAACAAGTGAAACAGCCTTGTTGCTGATATGGAGAAAGTCTAAATAGTTTGGATAGAAGATCAAACCCAGCCACAATATTCCCTTAAGCCAAAGACTGATCCGGAGCAAAGCCTAACTCTCTTCAATTCTATGAAGGCTGAGAGAGGTGAGGAAGCTGTGGAAGAAAAGTCTAAAACCAGCAGAGTTTGATTCATGAGTTTTAAGGAAAGAAGCTGTCTCCATAACATAAAAGTGAAAGGTGAAGCTGCAAGTGCTGATGGAGAAGCTGCAGCAAGTTATTCAGAAGACCTAGCTAAGAGCATTGAGGTGGCTACACCAAATAGATTTTCTTTTTTTTTTTTAGGATACGTTCATTTTATAGAATACTTTTGGGTCAAAAAACATGATGGAAAATTCCAGTAAAGTACAGTGAGAATAATGACAAGAAGCATGGAAAGCTGGAAGAATGGTATAATAATATGCAGGTTAAAAGTGGCAGCTATAATCTCACTTTTATATAAATACATGTGCAGACAAAAATATCTGGAAGGGTATACATTAAAACACTAAAGGTAGTTGTTTCTGAACAGGGTGACTTTTTTTTCCTCCACTATTTGCTTATGGACATTTTCTCTTTTTTTTTCTATTTCAAATACATTTTTATTTATTTTTTATTTTTATTTTTTCCCCTAGAGATGGGTCTCTAGAGAAATGCATTGCCCAGGCTGGTCTTGAACTTCTGGGCTCAAGCCATACCCCCTTCCCTCAGCCTCCCAAAGTGCTGAGATTATAGGCATGAGCCACCGTACCTGGCCTAAAATACGTTTTAATTAAAAAAATTAAAATGTGTTTTCCACATTAGTCTCTTTCTGTCTTTATCTCTGTCTGTCTTTGTCTCTATATATTGTCTTTACTGATAGCACTGAATTTTAAGGTCACAGCTGCTTTAAAATTAACAAAGTGATTAAGACCTGTGGGCTAAGAAACGGTTTTCTTTGACTTGCAAATGTATCCAGATGAAAAGTCTTCTCAGTGTAATAAATCGCTGTAATAATCCTTGAACACTTGGCAAATGCCTTTGATTGAGAAAAGTCAGTTGCATGAACTGGGGCTGACCTGAAGAATTACGGAGTCTGCATCCGGGGTGCAGGGCAGGTGTACAATGTCTAACAGCGACTCCGCAGGGCAGCTGGGGACGCACAGGGCTCCCAGAATGACAGGGCGGTTCCAAATACACCAGCCTCCCAGAAACGTGGCCCTGGCGATCTAAAGACCTTCAGATCCCAGGACTGCCCTACCGGATTCAGTGTCTAATGAATGGCAGGTGTTAGGAGGCAGGCAGGGGTTTCTTGTGGCAAATCCTGATTCACAGCTGGAAGATGGATTTCTGCCCTCAGGAAAACGGTTTAGTGGGAGGTGGTGAGAGTTAGCTGAAATTTCCAATAAAACGCAGTCAGAGCAGTGAGCTAGTGGGCACAGGAGAGCCTCAGTCAGTGGCTCAGTTATCTTCTAGTAAAACAATGGAAGAATTGGCAATTTTCTTCATATTTCATTTTCCTGACATGCAGGATGGTGAAGTGGCGAAGAGCCTGACTCTGGAAATAGCGAGAAGGGGTTTACGCTCTGGCTCTGTGTGTACTCGGGTAGGTTACCTAAGTACTCTATATCTCAGTTTATCAGCCCCTGAAATGGACGTAGAGTCCCCTGCCTCATGGAATTACTGTGATAATTTTTTTTTTTTTTTTTTTTTTTTTTTAGTATTTATTGATCATTCTTGGGTGTTTCTCGGAGAGGGGGATTTGGCAGGGTCATAGGACAATAGTGGAGGGAAGGTCAGCAGATAAACATGTGAACAAGGGTCTCTGGTTTTCCTATGCAGAGGACCCTGCGGCCTTCCCCAGTGTTTGTGCCCCTGGGTACTTGAGATTAGGGAGTGGTGATGACTCTTAAGGAGCATGCTGCCTTCAAGCATCTGTTTAACAAAGCACAACTTGCACCGCCCTTAATCCACTTAACCCTGAGTGGACACAGCACATGTTTCAGAGAGCAAGGGGTTGGGGGTAAGGTTATAGATTAACAGCATCCCAAGGCAGAAGAATTTTTCTTAGTACAGAACAAAATGGAGTCTCCCATGTCTACTTCTTTCTACACAGACACAGCAACAATCTGATTTCTCTTTCCTTTCCCCACACTTCCCCACCTTCCACTCGACAAAACCGCCATCGTCATCATGGACCCTTCTCAATGAGCTGCTGGGTACACTTCCCAGACGGGGTGGCGGCCGGGCAGAGGCGCCCCCCACCTCCCTCCCGGACAGGGCGGCTGGCGGGGCGGGGGCTGCCCCCTACCTCCCTCCGGGACGGGGTGGCTGGCCGGGCGGGGGCTGCCCCCCACCTCCTGGAGGGGGCGGCTGCCAGGCGGAGACGCTCCTCACTTCCCAGACAGGGCGGCTGCCGGGCGGAGGGGCTCCTCACTTCTCAGACGGGGCGGCAGGGCAGAGACACTCCTCACCTACCAGATGGGGTGGTGGTCGGGCAGAGACACTCTTCAGTTCCCAGACGGAGTCGCGGCCGGGCAGAGGCGCTCCTCACATCATAGACGGGGTGGCGGGGCAGAGGCGCTCCCCACATCTCAGACGATGGGCGGCCGGGCAGAGACACTCCTCACTTCCTAGACGGGATGGCGGCCGGGAAGAGGCGCTCCTCACTTCCTAGATGGGATGGCGGCTGGGCAGAGACGCTCCTCACTTCCCAGACTGGGCGGCCGGGCAGAGGGGCTCCTCACATCCCAGACGATGGGCGGCCAGGCAGAGACGCTCCTCACTTCCCAGACGGGGTGGCAGCCAGGCAGAGGCTGCAATCTCGGCACTTTGGGAGGCCAAGGCAGGCGGCTGGGAGGTGGAAGTTGTAGCGAGCCGAGATCACGCCACTGCACTCCAGCCTGGGCAACATTGAGCACTGAGTGAGCGAGACTCCGTCTGCAATCCCGGCACCTCGGGAGGCCGAGGCTAGCAGATCACTTGCGGTTAGGAGCTGGAGACCAGCCCGGCCAACACGGCGAAACCCCGTCTCCACCAAAAAAAATACGAAAACCAGTCAGGTGTGGCGGCGCGCGCCTGCAATCCCAGGGACTCGGCAGGCTGAGGCAGGAGAATCAGACAGGGAGGGTGCAGTGAGCCGAGATGGCGGCATTACAGTCCGGCCTCCGTTTGGCATCAGAGGGAGACCGTGGAGAGAGAGGGAGAGGGAGAGGGAGACTGTGGGGAGAGGAAGAGGGAGAGGGAGACTGTGGGGAGAGGGAGAGGGAAAGGGAGAGGGAGAGGGGGAGGGGGAGGGGGAGGGGGAGGGGGAGGCCAAATAGATTTTCAATGGAGACGAAATAACCTTCTATTGGAAGATGCCATCTAGGATTTCTTACGGGGGAGCAAAGAAAGCAGTTTCTTGAGATGGGAGTCTACTTCTGATAAAGATGCTGTGAACATTCTTAAAATGACCAAAAAGGATTGAGAATATTATATTAACTTAGTTGAGAAAGCAGCAGCAGGGTTTGAGAGGACTGACTCCAATTTTGAAGGAAGTTCTATTGTGGGTAAAATGCTATCAAACAGCATCACATAGTGCCAAAAAATCGTTCATGAAAGGAAGGGTCAATCAATGCTACAAGCTCCATTGTTGTCTTATTTCAAGAAATTGCCACAGCCGCCCCAACCTTTAGCAACCCTGATCAGTCAGTAATCATCAACATAGAATCAAGGCCCTCCATCAGCAAGAAGATTATGACTTGCTGAAGCCTCCGATGATCATTCACTTTTTTTTTTTTTTTAGCAATACGGTATTTTTAAATTAAGGTATGTACATTGTTTTTTGGACATGATGCTTAATGGCTACAGTGTAGCATAAACATAACTGTTACATGCACTGAGAAACACCAACATGTGTGTGACTTGCTTTACTGAAATACTCACTTTATTTCAGTGGTCTGGAACCAAGCCTGCAACATCTCAGTGGTCTCTCTAAAAATAGGAATCACCATCACTATGTCACAAACCATGACATCGTGAATAGACACTTAGTAAGCATCTGCTGCGGGCAAGACATGGAGGACAGTGGGAGAGCACGGGTGTCTGCAGAACATGCAATCTAACTAGGGCACAGTCTCTAGAGAAAGCTGATAAGCTGAGGGCCATGTGATGAGAAGAGAGACTAGGGGCTGCTATGGGCTTAGAGGAGGGAGCAGTCCCCACAGGCAGGTGCCAGTAGGTGAGACTTGCGCTGGAACTGGAAGGGAAAGAGTTTGGCTCCATGATGACCTGAGCCAGGAAGTGCCACTAGTTCATCAGAACTAGAACAAAGACCTCAACCAGTTCTCCCACTGAGTTATTGTAACTCCTCTGAGTTACTAAATCTGAAAGATTCTTTTGAGTGGGTTAGTACTTAAACCTCTACTGTAATAGATGAATTTGATGCCTGAGATGAGAGTCAATTGTTTACAGTCATGGAGTGGGTGACTATTTGAATTTCTTCAAATTTAAAGGGGTCTAGTGCACTGTTTTACTTACAGTGGTTCTTGGAAAGGATGCTGGAAAAAAGGAGATTAGGAAATATGAAAGTCAGATTTTGAATGACAGCTGAGTTCAGCTTCTTTTTCTAAACTTCCAGCTTTGTGAATTCCCTTTCTACATTAATAAAATAACAGGAAAGGATTAAGGGAGGTTATGTTTGTGTTTGAGGTACAGTCAAATGATTGAAATGCATCCTCTAAAATATTTAACAGGTCTACCCAACCATTCTGAGCAAGCTTTAAAAATATTTTAACCATTTTCAAAGCAGAATGCCACATGTTATCAAATTAAAGGAAGATAAAATCTCTCAAAAATTTAAACAGGATTTTGAACTGAAGGAATTTAAAAATAAACATTGCTCTTAACTTATTGAGAGTTACAGAAATTTTTTTATTTCAATTGTTTTTGGGTAACAGGTGGCTTTTGGTTACATTGATAAGTTCTTTAGTGATAATTATTGAGATTTTGGTGCACCCATTCATCCGAGCAGTGTATGCTGTACTCAATGTGTAGTTTTTTACCCCTCATCCCCCTCCAACCCTTCCCCGCAAGTCCCCAAAGTCCATTATATCATTCTTATGCCTTTGCATCCTCATAGCTTAGCTCCCACTTATAAATAAGAACATACAATATTTGGTTTTCCATTCCTGAGTTACTTCACTTAGAATAATGGTCTCCAACTCCATCCAGGTAATTGTGAATGCCATTATTTCATTCCTTTTTATGGCTGAGTAGTATTCCATGGTGTGTGTGTGTGTGTGTGTGTGTGTGTGTGTGTGTGTATGTGTATATATATATGTGTGTGTGTGTGTATATACACACATATATATACATATATATGTGTATATATATGTATATATATGGTAGTTTTGATCATAAAGGGATGCTGGAATTTGTCAAATGCTTTTTCTGAACCTATTGAGATGATCACATGATTTTTGTTTTTAATTCTGTTGATGTGCTGTATCACATTTATTCACTTGTATATGTTAAACCAACCTCACATCCCTGGTATGAAACCCACTTGATCATGGTGTATTATCTTTTTGATATGCAATTGGATTCAGTTAGCTAGTATTTTCTTAAGGATTTTTGCATCTATATTCATCAGGGATATTGGTCTGTAGTTTTCTTTTTTTGTTATGTCCTTTCCTGGTTTTGGAATTAGAGTGATACTGGCTTCACAGAATGATTTAGGGAGGATTCCCTCTTTCTCTATCTTTTGGAATAGTTTCAGTAAGATTGGTACCAATTCTCCTTTGAATGTCTGATAGAATTCAGCTGTGAATCCATCTGGTCCTGGACCTTTTTTATTGGCAATTTTTAAATTACTTTTTCAATCTCACTGCTTGTTATTGGTCGTTCAGAGTTTCTATTTCTTTCTAATTTAATCTGGGAGGGTTGTATATTTCCAGGAATTTACCCATCTCCTCTAAATTTTCTAGTTTGTGTGTGTAAAGGTGTTCACAGCAGCCTTGAATAATCTTTTGTATTTCTGTGGTATTGGTTGTAATATCTCCTGTTTAATTTCTAATTGAGCTTATTTGGATCTTGGATCTTTTCTTGGTTAATCTCACTAGAGGTCTATCAAATTTGTTTATCTTTTCAAAGAACCAGTTTTTTTTGTTTCATTTATCCTTTGTAATTTTTTTTGTTTCAATTTCATTTAGTTCTGCTCTGACCTTTTTGTTTTGTTTTGTTTTTGTTTTTGTTTTTCTGCTGGATTTGGGTTTGGTTTGTTCTTGTTTTTCTAGTTCCTTGTGGTATGACATTAGATTGTCTATTTGCACTCTTTCAGACTTTTTGACATAGGCTATGAACTGTCCTCTTTGTACCACCTTTGCTGAAGCCTAGAGGTTTTGGTAAATTGTGTCACTATTATTGTTCAGCTCAAAGAATTTTTAAATTTCCATCTTGATTTCATTGTTGACCCAAAGAGCATTTAAGAGCAGATTATTTAATTTCCATGTATTTGTATAGTTTTAGGGGCTCCATTTGGAGTTAATTTCCAGCTTTATTCCATTGTGGTTTGAGAGGATACTTGGGGTACTTTCAATTTTCTTAAATTTATTGAGACTTGTGTTGTGACCTATTATATGGTCTATCTTGGAGAATGCTCCATGTATTAAAAAAAATGTATATTCTACAGTTGTTGGGTAGAATGTTCTGTAAATATCTGTTAAGTCCACTTATTTTAGTGTATAATTTAAGTCCATTGTTTCTTTGTTGACTTTCTGTTGTGATGACCTGTCTAGTGTTGTCAGTGGAGTATTGAAGCCCCTCCACTATTATTGTGTTGCTGTCTAACTCATTTCTTAGGTCTAGTAGTAATTATTTTATAAATTTGGGAGCTCCAGTGTTAGGTGCATATATATTTAGGATTGTGATACTTTCCTGCTGGACTATTCCTTTTATCATTATGTAAGTCCCTATTTTTTTTTAACTGTTGTTGCTTTAAAGTCTGTTTTGTCTGATACAAGAATAGCTACTCCTGATCACTTTTGATTTCCATTTGCATGGAATATCTTTTTCTACTCCTTTACCTTAAGTTTACATAAGTCCTTATGTGTTAGATAAGTCTCTTGAAGACAGCAGATATTTGGTTGGTGGATTTTTTTATTCATTCTGCCATTATATTTTAAGTGGAGCATTTAGGCCATTTACATTCGATGTTAGTATTAAGATGTGAGGTACTGTTCTATTCATTATGTTAGTTGGTGCCTTAATACCTCGTGTTTTTTTTCCACTGTGTTATTGTTTTATAGGCCCTATGAGATTTGTGCTTTAAGGAGGTTCTATTTTGCTGTATTTTGAGGTTTTGTTTCAAGATTTAGAACTCTTTTTAGCATGTCTTGTAGTGCTGGCTTAGTAGTGGCAAATTCTCTCAGCATTTGTTTGTCTGAAAAAAGGCTTTATCTCTCCTTCATTTATGAAACTTAGTTTCACTGAATACAAAATCCTTGGCTGACAATTATTTTATTTCAGGAGGGTGAAGATGGGACCCCGATCCCTAATGACTTGTAAGGTTTCTGTTGAGAAATCTGCTGTTAATCTGATGGGTTTTTCCTTTATAGGCTACCTGATACTTTTGTCTCACAGCTCTTAAGATTCTTCCTTTCATCTTGACTTTAGATAGCTTGATGAATATGTGCCTAGGTGATAATCTTTTTGCAATGAGTTTTCCAGGTGTTCTTTGAGCTTTTTGTATTTGGATGTCTAGATCTCTAGCAAGGCCAGGGAAGTTTTCCTCAATTATTCCCTCAAATAAGTTTTCCAGACTTTTAGATTTCTCTTCTTCCTCAGGGAATGCCAATTATTCTTAGGTTTGGTGATTTAACATAATCTCAATTTTCTTGGAGGCTTTGTTCATTTAAAATTTTTTTTCATTGTCTTTGTCTGATTGGGTTAATTCAAAAGCCTTGTCTTCAAGCTCAGAAATTATTTCTTCTACTTCTTCTAGACTATTTTTGACACTTTCCACTGCATTTTGTATATATCTAAGTGTATCTTTCACTTCCAGAAGTTGTGATTGTTTTTTCTTTGTGATATCTGTTTCTCTGGGGCATTTTTCATCCATATCCTACATTTAAAAAAAAATTTATTTAAGTTGGTTTTCACCGTTCTCTGTTATCTCCTTGAGTAGCTTAATATTAATAATTAAATTTCTAAATTATTTATCTGACAATTCAGATTTTTTTTTTAGTTTGGATCCATTGCTGGGAAGCTGGTATGATCGGGGGTATTACAGAACACTGTTTTATCATACTACCAGAACTACTTTTCTGGCTTCTTCTCATTTGGGTAGACTAATTCCATGTTTGTTGTTTTCATGATATGGTTTTGTTGTGTCCCCACCCAAATCTCATCTTGAATTGTAATTCCCATAATTACCCCCATGCTGCTGTTCTCATGATAGCAAGTGACTTTTCACAAGATCTGATGGTTTTTTAAGGGGCTTTTCCTCCTTTTGCTCATACTTCTCCTTCCGGCCGCCATGTGAAGAAGGATATGTTTGCTTCCCCTTCCGCCATGATTGTAAGTTTGCTGAGGCCTCCCTAGCCATGCAGAACTGAGTCAATCAAACTTCTTTCCTTTATAAATTACCCAGTCTTGGGCAGTCCTTTATAGCTGCGTGAGAATGGACTAATACAATGCATATGTTTGAAACACTGAATAAATACATTATGCTATGCTGCCAACTACAGCTTCCACTACAGATAGAAAGGGCAAACAAGAATACTGAAGCACTGTGAATCAAATGGGCATCCAGAAAAAAGTGTGGGTGTTGAAGGGCTTAAGAACATACCACCCCCAAAATATGCCACTCTGACATATTGACTATTTTGAGTTAAAGGCCCTTAAAAACCAGTAAGTATACAAAGACCATTGGTGACCTTCCTTCTATTTTCCTTTGTTTCTTTTTTACAGGGTCTCTCTCTGTCACGCAGCCTAGAGTGCAGTGGCACGACCATAGCTCACTGCAACCTCAACCTCCTGGGCTCAAGTGATCCTCCTGCCTCGGCCTCCTGAGTAGCTGAGACTACAGGCATGTGCCACCATACCCAGCTAATTTTTTTGTTGTTGTTGTTAGAGATGGGGTCTCACTCTGTTGCCCAGGCTGGTCTCAAGCCCCTGGCCTCAAGCAATTCTCCCACCTCTGCCTCCCAAAGTGTTGGGATTACAGGCGTGAGCTACCACTCCTGGCTTCTTCCTTCTGTTTCTTAAAAGCAGGTGATAATTTCCATGTGAAAGATGCCCTTCTTACACCAGAAGGAAAGTATTCTTATCGTCAAGCAAAGGAGATCGAGGCCCAGAGAAATCTATTTAAACCAACCTTGTTAAACGAACCCTTATCTTCCTAGCCACTTCTCCACCCAATTAACTACCTTAGCCCAAACCGCTTTACCTTGTTATATTTTCGTAATTTACTGCTCTGTCCAATTCAGCATATAAGTGTTCATTTCTGTGTCTTAATTTTCATTTCTTGACGAAGGCTCCCATTGTAAAACTTGCATTAAATACATTTGTATACTTTTCTCCTGTTGATTCTGTCTTATATCAATGTAACTCTCAGGCCCAGCCAAAAAACTTGAAAAGAATAGAGGTAAAAATTTGCCTCTCCTACGATGTATATAGTAAAGTTTTGACAATTGGTTAGAAGTACAGATTTCTGTAGTCCAATAGACCTGAGCACAAATTCCATATCTACCATTTACTAATTGTGTGATCCTGGGCAAGTTACTGAACCTCTTTACATTTTAGTTTCCTTGTTTGTAGAGCAGAAAAATATTTATCACATAAGGTGGTGCGATATTTAAATGAGCCCAGATATGCACTTAACACATGGTGGATATTTAGCTTGTATACCATGGTGGGTCACCTTTTTAAATGAGCCAAGAAATGCACTTAATATGTGGTAGATATTTAGCTTGGATACCACTGTGGGCCGCCTTTTTGGTTCTAGGGCTAAGAGGCTTGTTCAAGGCCATTCTTCAGTGGGAAGAGTTTGGTCTCTTGATGCAAACCATCTCTCCATTCTGCTAACTTGCAGAGGTTCAGCTAGCATTTAGTACACTTTCAACAGCAAGTAATATTTTATGGGCATCTGGGTTTGTCCTTCTTGCAAATTTTAAGAAGTAAATAGTGAAATTCTTTCTTCCTTCCTTTCCTGCCCTTCTCTTTCTCCCTGCCCCTCCAGACATTTATTTGGCACGTACTAGGTACCAGATACACTGATGTTTATTGTTACTTAAATGTAAATGCAGTACTTTTGCCAATTAGTGAACTGACTAACATAAATTCTAATTTACACACACTCACACACAGCCAATTCAGTTGTATGATTTGAACCATTTTTCTTTCTTCTTGCACCATTATTTGGTCTGAGTCCCGAGAAGGAAATCTTACTTGAATAACATAAATGTTTTTAAATATTATTAAATTCTTAATATCAAATATTAACCAAGCACAGATGCACAATCTGGACATCTTCCATGTGGAAATATCTTCATACAAAAGGCATTTATTTAATTTGGACTATGTTTAACATTTTTTTTTTTTGAGACAGGGTCTCACTCCTGCTGCCCAGGATGGAGCGTAGTGGTACGATCATGGCTCACTGCAGCCTCAACTTCCCAGGCTCAGGCAATCCTCCCACCTCAGCCTCCCAAGTAGCTGGGACTATAGGTGTGCACCACCAAGTCTGGCTAATTTTTTGTATTTTTAGTAAAGATGGGGTCTTGCCATGTTGCCCAGGCTGGTCTCAAACTCCTGGGCTCAAGTGATTTGCCTGCATTGGCCTCCCAAAGTGCTAGGATTACAGGCATGAGCTGCCATGCCCAGAAACACAATATTTTTTAAAGCACAAGAAATATACCACTAGATATTGGGGATTTTTAATTTAAATTCTTTAATTTTTTATGAATTTTTAAGAGTGACATATTTTTTCCTTTGCTGGAGGGAGACAGAAGATAAAGTCATAGGAGTAGAAATTATAAATTACTTTTCAATAGGTTTCTTCCATTGAAGCTAGCATAAAAAATGACTGAAAGGTAAATGAGAACAACTTCTAAAAGCTGCTGGTCTTAAAAACAGATAAAATCAAGCTACATACAAAAAAAAAAATCCAGTGCAATAGAAAGACTACCATTGTATTTACAAATCAGAATACAAATACAAATTAGAGCAGAACAGATATTTGAGAATTTTCAGGAAAAATCCCTTCTAAAACCATCTAAGACTGCCACTATAGCAGGAAATTATTACAGTTGATTCTTGTTACTCTTCATCTGTCCCTGGCTTCTCCACTCCTCTGCAGCTGGTTTTCAACTTTCTCTGGTTTGCTTAGTCAATTCACCTGCTTCCCAGCCGTGAAAGTTTGAGGACTTTTCTCTTTCCTTTTGCCTCTTCCACTGTTCTCATTGTCCTGTGGATTCATGCCTCTATGCCCCTTTATCATTTTACTGGTGCTTCAGGAGTAGATGGAGACAAAGTTCTGTGTTCAACACCCTACCAGGACATCTTTAGTTTGAATCTCAAGATTTGGGTCATATTAAGGACTGGCCATTTTTGTCCTCTCAAATTCCTATATTTAAGATCTAACCTCCAATGGGTGATGGGATTATAAGAAAAGACACCATATAAGACATAGACATACTTATAAGAAGAGACACCAGAGAGCTTGCTGGCTTTCTCCATCACGTGAGCACACAGTGAGAAGGCGGCTGTTTGCAAGCCAAAGAGAGAGCCCTTACCAGAACCCCACCATGCGGGCACCCTTATCTCAGCCTTCCAGCCTCTAAAGCTGTGAGAAATAAATTTCTGTTGTTTAAGCCTCCTAGACTGTGGTATTTTGTTATGGCAGCGCAAGCTAACAAACATGGGTTTGTGTCTTTAATAAAAAGGCCTTTAGAGATATGAATGAAACAATATTTGACTAAGGATAAAGGCAATTTTGAACTGTCTTAGTGGCCAAAATGTCCACAGGTGAGGGGGGTATGAAGGAACAATAAAATGACCAAATGACTGAGTCATGTGAGCCTGTTCATTGGACACCAACTACTGCATGTGCATACCTAAATGCTCTCGGATGATTTTGTATTATAGGGAACATACATAGTTATTTTATTGACTCATTTCAGAAAATAAATGGAAACAGATGTTATTATAGCCTTCAGTGACATGAGCCCCAGGAACACAATTTATTGGGAACTCCATGGTATGGGAAGCTGTGCTCTGTGGCATCCCAAGTCGGGTGGGATGCATCACTCTCCTAGCATCAACAAGAGGTCCCAATGGTAGCTTCTGGTTAAAATGCTGTGGGGAGGGAGACCTGCTTAGATTTTGGAGCAGTGCTTATAACCTCGCTCTCTGCAGTTCATACTCCCACATCCCTTGGATTCTTTTGATGAGGATCTTGGCTCAGCCTTTTGGATAGTGGGGGCACTCTATTTCCTTGGATCATCTGCACATGGGAGGACCTGCATCCCCCACCCAGCTAAGATAGCAAGCTCCCTGATTCCTTTGAGACTTGGGCTGTCTGACTTCGGGTGCAGGGTTCTTCATCTTCAAACCTGCCATTTGAAATACTGCACCTCAGGACTGCCTGTGTCCCCAGCCTCTGCCTCAGACCACACACCACTGTGAAGCCTGAAAGCATGCAACTCCTACCTGGCCCGGGCCACAGGTAACACAAGGGAATGTGATGGGAGCCTCTAGTGTGTGTGAGTCACAACATATACAAACACAATTCATCATGGTTTTGATTTCAACCTGCTGTTCTTTTTTCTGTTTCAGAAGAATGGTTATGCACATTGGCACTCTTGTCAAAATTTCAGTGATTCACAACAACAACAAAACACCCCAACTATACCCCTCCACCCTCAAATCGGCAAGAATGAAAGATAGCTTCTAATTTCATGGAGGATATTAATGACTTTCATTTTCCCTCATCAAAGCTGGCTGTAGGATCTAAATTTAGGTGGCCTTCCTGTTCCCATTTTAATATACACACCCATTATAAGCCTTTAAATGTTTAATGCTTTGCACCTGGGTGAGAGAAAGGGCCAAGCTGTTAAGCTCCTTGCTCTCCTTCTTGTCCTTCATTTATACTTCCATGACAGCCCCATTCAATGCTAACTCTGCTCCTCACTGTAAGAATATACAGATTTGGAGATTCCCTCAAAACCTTTAAAATGTTCCCACTACTAAATCTGATCCCTGGGGAGCTCAGCTGGGATTTCCCCATGCAGAGGGGAGAAAGGCAATGCGATTCTCTCCTAAGTCATTACCTACACCCAGGAGCTGGATACAGGCTGAGCTGGCTTTAGGTGAAATCATATAAGAAATGTTTATCTTCATATCCAAGCTATTTATTCTTTCACTCTTTTTTGGGGGGCCCTTTTCTCCTCCCAAGTTCTGAGAGCCACACTCTGGGAAATTTGCTACGTTCTTGATTTTTCTTTATGTTACTTCCAAATTCATCTTGTGAGCACTTCCTGAGACACTTCCCTGGTTTCTAAGAAGCCAGGTAATTAAACAAAATGAAAGAAACAAAAAACACTGAATATGTGCTGCCTCGAATGAATATTTGTATGGCACTGTGCAAGCTCATAGGTAGTAACCCTTGTTTGTCTTTAAAAGAACTAAAGACAGTGACTTTAACTCACAGAGTTGATCTCATGCTGAGAGCATCAGGCTAGACTGGATAAGTGGTCCTTCCGATGGCCCTAAAATCATGCCATGTACTCTCTAAGGGAATTATACCTAACAGTATCTTCCAATTTCCAAAAGTTGAATTCTCTTTAAAAATAAAAAAGTACACATACAAAAGATTTTAAGTATTTAAAAGTAGAAAGATCAGTACAATGAACCCCCATCTACTCATCCCCCATTTCAACAACTGTCACTAAAATTCTTACAAGTTTGACAAACAAATTGCCCTCATTCTAGCGGGAAAGTCCTGTATTGGGTAAGCCAATATATCAATAGCTTGACATTGTCAGGACACGTTAACCTACAAGCACCATGCTGATGTGCACACACATTTTTAAAGCTTTACTTCTTCTGACAGTTACGAAGCTCTTCTGAGATCAGGTGTGGAGGAAGCTCACCACATCTCTTCCCTTGGGAGGGTTCAACTTCACCTAATTACAGACATAAGCTGAATATGAATTTGGGGAATCAATCAGTAGCAGGTTATGCAATGCCAATTAAAAATAACCTTTGAAAATACAAGATACCTAGATGTAAAACACAAAGTCCTTACATACTGAAACTCTTAAAAATGTTTTCTTAAAACACTTATTTCAATCCTCATTGGATTGCCTACCATTTGGAAAGTGCGGGCAAGTATTCTATTAGGGAGGATGAGTCTTTATTGAAGAGTGGTGGCTGTCGGGCTCAGGAATAGACTGCCTCAGTATCACACAGAAGCAAAGGCAGTCACACCATAAATGTGTGGCATGTCATAATACTGCCTATATTTATTATAAGACTTTATGTATATATTTTCACATACATACTTATATACGCATATACACATATATATTTAAAACTCATGCAGTCCTGAACTTCACATTGCATGATGCATTTTCTGAACTCAGTAAGTCCCTGTTCCCAAGATTCCCAAACTGATTCACTGTGAAGCCTTGCTCATATGATCACCATCATTTCATGCACAGCCTGCTTTCCATGAAGATTGCTGCAGCCCTGGGCGAGGCCCTGTCTAGATTGAAAGAGACATCGATGTGTCTTCCTGCAGCCAGCCTTGCCTGTTCCCACCTAGCCTTCATATAGCTGCCAGATCTATTTGCTGGAAACCATGTCAGATCATATAAAATGTACCTTGAGTCCCTTTCATGTCTCTCCGTTGCTTATAGAATAAATTCACATTCATCAAATTGGCATGTGAGACCCCATGCAAACAATGTATCAAATAATAATAGCTACGATAATATCCTACATAGCAGAGTGTAATCGTTAACTCCTGTTTAATAGTTAACTATATAGACTTCTATGTTATAATTATATAATTAGTATATATGGTCAATAATATGAGAAGACGTGACCTATCTGAAGGAAGTACTATATTACCATTTTACAGAGGGGAAAACTGAGGCAGAAAGTGATTGGGTAGCTTTCCCAAGGTCACCTAGCTATTAAGTGACAGGATTGGGAGTTGGACCCAGGCAGCCTGGCTCTGGAGTCTGTGCCTCTCACCATTCCGTCCCCTGCCAGATCTCCCTTCTAAGTGCCTCCATCCCCAGCCCATCCACATTCTAGTGATTCCCTCCAGGCACACTGTACTTCTTTGCTGGCATCGCTTCCCCTATCTGGAAAACGCATCCATCTCAAGCTAGTGAAAGTTCCTTCTGCAGACCACCCAAGACCTAAGTTAACATCACTCCCTCCACATGGTGGTGCCCACGCCTCCTTTACACCCTTATCTGGTTCTGTCTTGTGTAGCTGGCTGTCAGCTGCACCTGTCTGAATGCCCGGCAGACCTCATGTTCTTTAGACTAGGGTGCCAGGCTTGTTCTTTGTCATCTGGGGGTTGGCACAGAGCTCCCAATCACCCTGTCACTGAGTTTAATGATACAAATGTGAAGACATACAGAGGCATCGCACACTGCAATGCTGGGTAAAAGTTTTCTCTACAAGAGGCAAACATGTGCTTTAAAATGACAACAATAATGAGGACTGCATGGAGTCCTTGCAGATGATGTCTTGCCTTTCCCCATGCCCCCTGTTTTTCCTACAAGTGGGGGCAGGGAAGAGAAGAGAGGAAGGGCAGCATGCCCTCTGCAGCCACAGCCATCCTGGCTTGCAGGATTACATAAAAGAGATGAGCCTAACAGTCTGTCAAGGAAGCAAGGAGGTCCCACACTCAAGGGCTAGCGAAAAGAAAAGAGAAAACCAGCCACCCCACCTTCGGCCTCCTCTAAATTGCTACCATCCCAAACCACTCCTACACTTTCTCCTCCCCACCCTGTGAAGACAGAAGTGGCCAGCAGCGTGCTTCGACAGTCAGCCTTCCTGGACTCTGTCCTTAACTCATTTAAGATCATCATTTTCCTATTAACTCTCCATGCCAAGAAGTCCTATCTCAGCAGTGTGGGTTTGGGATGTCACAGTGGGGCCCCTTGTTATTCAATTTCACTGGGTCTTCTGTTTTCCTACTTTGTTTAAATGGAATGTTTTTCTCCAGGAAAAAAAAAGGAGGGGAGGAAGAGAAGGAGAGAGGGAGAAGCAGGGAGGGAGAAGAAAGGAAGAAGGAGGAAAGGAAAAGTTAGTTTGCAAAGCTAGATTGTAGACCAGGAGGGAAGTCCTTCATATGTGGCAAGAATGAATAAAATATTTGTAAACTCTTGAGACACTGGCAAGGGAAGGTGTTTTCTCCACAGAGAAGAGGAGGCACCAGGAGAGGTATTTCCAGAACTAACGGACCATGTGTCCATGGGCCCCTTCACCACGTATTTCATCCAGCAGGTCGATTTGATGTGACAGGCAGGGTGCATCTCCAGGAAGCGACTCCCTCATAAATAAAGGTGGGTTTGAGTTGGATGTTTCCATACAAGGAAAAATCTGTGGCACACGCTCTTACCACTCAGACTTTGTCTCTACAAGTTTGGATTCCTGGAAAATGACACAGGGAAGGGTAACTGGGAAAAAGAACACCCGTCGGCTTCTCATGGAAACATCTGTTCTGCTGGAAGTGTTCCTGGAGCTGAAGGTGAGCTGTTGAGACCCCAGGTGCTAAAGCTTTAGCAGAAGCATTTATCCGCTCAGCCTCTCTCAGGCCCTGCCCTTCAGGGATGACCTGCTGGAGCACAGGCAGAGGTCTGAACCTCCTCCTCAGTAGGAAGCAGAGATGCAAAAGCAACAAACCTGGGACGTGAGTTGTAGCTGCAGGGGCTGGGAGCTCTGGGGGCCTCTTCCCCCAGCATCTATTCTGGGCTAGTGGGTCCCTGAGAGGCCTTCTTAGGGAACAGCCTCAGCACTCCCCATACATCACAGAGCCTCACCTTCCTCTAATGTGGAGAAAATTCATTTTCCCACTAGTGAGGTCAGTATGTGTAGGACTATACGGTAGCTTTCTGATGTTGTGAGAAAAGTGACCAAATTATCATGAAATTGGTAAACTTTATACGTGAAAAATCTCAAGTCAATTCTGAAGCCAAATGCTGTTTTCCAAGTAGTGTTAGAAGTTTAAATTAATCCCAGTGGGTTTTCCAAAGTGTATCACATGACGCTAGTCTCTGTTTGGGTATTGTTCTGGAAGAGAAGCTTTTCTTACCATGCACAAGGCCTAATTTGCTATCTTCCACCATGTGAGAAATATGCTTGGGGAGAAACAGAAATGAAGTTTAAAAAAACTATTTTTTTTATGAGGTAGATAAAGAGAGAGGCTGAAAAGAGAAGACAAGGAGAGGAGGTTTTTCGTAAGCCCTCTAATAAGGCGAGATGAAACCTTTGTTCAGGGTCTATTATGTGCTAGGTGCTTTTTGACTCATAGGAACTCTCAATAGTTCCTAGCATTAGAAGTAGTATCATTCCCATTTTACAGATGAGGCAACTGAGGCTCAGAGCACCGCAAGAATCATCCAAAAGTGAGTCTAGTATGTAGCTAAATAGAGTTGCAAACTCAGGTAGTTCTAGCTGCAGTGCCTGGGCTCTTTCCACTGCGCCATGCTGCCCTTCTTAGAAAGGGCCCTGGGCCAGGCACAGTGGCTCACGCCGTAATCCCAACACTTTAGGAGGCTGAGGCAGGCAGATCACGAGATCAGGAGTTTGAGATCAACCTGGACAACATGGTGAAATCCTGTCTCTACTAAAAATACAAAAATTAGCTGGGCATGGTTGTGCGCACCTGTAGTCTCAGCTACTTGGGAAGCTGAGGCAGAAGAATAGCTTGAACCTGGGAGGTGGAGGTTGCAGTGAGCCGAGATCATGCCACTACACTCCAGCCTGGGCAACAAAGCGAGACTCCGTCTCAAAAAAAAAAAAAAAAAAAAAAAAATGGCCCTGGTTGGGCAAGCTTCAGAGCAATGAACTCACAGAGAAGCTTCACGAGGATGTTATCTAATAAGACAGCAGGACTTGGGTAAAACTCCCAGGCAAGTGGCTTCTTGATTCCTTGCTTCCCTGAGGTCAGTACAGTTCTGGCCTTTCTGAGGATGTGAAGGGATCCCAGGCATAACTGGGGAACAACTGCCGTCTTCACATACATCCATGAAACCTAGGTGCTTCTGGATGTATGTGAACAATAATAGCACATGTTCAAGCCTAGGTGCTCCTGGCAGGAACGGTGGAGGAAGCAGAAGACCCATCAACACGTTCAGCTTACAATCCATTTCCATTTTAGAAAAGTTTAAAATATTTCTCGGAAGCTTTAATTCATCGGTAGAAACAGACCAAATGTTGAATTTCTTATTTGATTCCATCTAGCTTCTAGGACCAGCATTGAGCACTAAATATTGATTTAAGGAGGAAAGTAATATGAGATTCTGTGTGCAACGTGAATATTTAAAATTATGCTCCGGCTTGTAAAAAGCAAAAGTTGAGTGGAGAGGGTGTGGTTGCACTCATTTATGTGAGACGTCTGTTGCATGCTTAGCACCTGCAGAGCTCTGCGTTAGGTGGGATAAAAGCACAGGAAAGGAGATGGCTAAGGAAGGAGATTACAATCGCCAGGGGATGATGGATGGATATGGCGCTACTCTCACTGATGAACATAATGTAGAGAGAAAGTCATGTGATCTGTGCAGGCTAAAATTATAAGGTGAATTACTGTAAATTATGTTACATGCCATTTTAAAAGCCTGTCTCAGTGGGATTTAAAATACGCACACATTCACATATAACCCAGCTCCTTGACTAGAGACCACATTTTTTGTGAAACTTACAGTGTGTACTAACTGGTTACACAACAGGTGCGAAATAAAAACTTGTTTGGTTGAATTAAGCAGGTCAGATGGTGATGGGAATTCAAATTTTAGCCCTTTACAAGCCAAGGATGTATTTTAATTTGACATTTCATGCCCCTTATTAATAGTCCACTGAGATTATTCATAGATACCCATTTCCCAAACAAATCCATATGACATCACTACTGAAAAAGAGCCCAAGTTTCAAAAAATGACCAGATATAACAAACAATGAAAAGGATATCAACTAAAACCAAACCCTAAACTCACTAAACATGGCATCTTGCCTAGGTCAAGTCTGCAGAAACGAAACCAAGTGGTCTCTTGTCTTTACTGCTACAAATAACCAGTGACTTTTAATTTAAAGGAGAATCCAAGAGACTGGGGAAAAGACGCAGGTTTCCAAAGAAAAGTGTCAGCGGCTCTGAAACAACATGGTGGCTGACTTCTTCCCATGGGACACCTTGTCCTTGGCATTTCTGGGCTTCAATGTTCTGCAGATTTAAGGCTGGGTCTGAGTGACTAAGTCAGCTCAGACCTCACTCAGGTTTTGAATAAACCAAGATGCAATTGAGCACCTCACTTTAATAGGCAAGCTCTGAAACTTTAAAAAGTGAAAATAACATGTCTACATATCAAGCCTTACCACCTACTAGCAGTGTCACTTGGGACAAGTAATTTAATCTATATGCCTCAATTTCCTCATCTGACGAGGATAATAATATTGTCATGTACTTTACAGGGTATTGTGAAGATGAAATGAGATCACTCAAATAAAATGCTCAAAAATTTCTCACCATTATTATTCTCTCTCCAGCAGTTATTTTTCCATTTAGTCATTAAACAATAATTTAACCTTCTTTAAATTGCAAAATATTACACACTTACAAAAAAGTATATAGCAAGTGGATGTATTTTTATTTAAAAGGGCATACCTCTGTATCCATTACCTGGAAATAAGAAATAGAACCCTGCCAGTTCCCCAGAAGAGCCTCACACAGCCCCTCCCCACCAATTTCCTCCATCCTCCCTAAAAGTAAACACTGTTATGTCTTCTAAAATACTTCAATAGTTTTTCAAGGCAGCCTTAAATGACTTAATGCATGGGAATGGTAAGTGCTCAACAAATGTTGGCTACTTTTTAAAAAAGACAATATAAGGTACACTCAAGAAGTTTACCACTTCCTCATTTGACATTGCTCTCACTTCATAATTGCACTTACATGCAATGCTTCTCACTTTTAGCCTGTCTCAGGGCATAAGCAGTTTGCATTTATCACTCTGCATAAGGCTGTGGGACATCACACCATGCTGGATT
Source organism: Homo sapiens (assembly GCF_000001405.40). Classification (NCBI taxonomy): domain Eukaryota; kingdom Metazoa; phylum Chordata; class Mammalia; order Primates; family Hominidae; genus Homo; species Homo sapiens. Next base: position 13,116,246 of record NC_000006.12, on the reverse strand, counting down.
TGTAATGCTGGCTTTTGTTAATTTAATGCATGTTCCTCCAATTTCAGTTCAGTTATCTGCCTATTGGTAGCCTCCTCAATAGTGTCCACGAGAACTGGAGCCATAATGATTGCATCTTGTTGATTGAATTCATCTAGAACTTTTACAGAAAAACCAGATAGTTCCAGTATAATTTTGGGAGAAAAAAGTGGAGAACTGGTGTGTCAAGAGACAGTCTGCAGCACACTAAGCATCCCAGGGCCACTTGGTCACATACATGGCAGATCCCTGTCACACCAAGACATCTTTCTCTAGTCATCTGAAGCAGAAGATTGACAGCTTAGCTGAGAAATCCCCTACGCACCTGCTGTTCTGTCTCTGGGCTTGGTGAAATTTTTTAGAAGAAATGTGTTCTCATCCCTTAGGCTTAACTCTGAATTCAGCTGGAGCTGCGGTGGACAGTTCTGTGTGAGCGCAGACACAACCTCACTGAAAGCACCCCTTCTCAAGCATGCAGTGCTCACATGCATTTTTCCATTATCTGCCCCAAGCCCTTTATACAGCCTACGTGGAGCCTGGAAACGCCTGGGTTTAAAGCCATCAGGATGGGAGCTTCGACTGTGGCAACCTTAGTAACTAAACGCATCTTGATAGTGGCTTTTCTTCCTCTCTGACTTTGCCTCATTCCTGTTTCCTGAGACCACCTCCCACATAAACTATCTGCATACAAACCCTCATCTCAGGCTCTGTTTTCAGGCCAATGCTAAGTAAGACATGGGTAGAAGGGAGAAGAAGGTGTAGCTTAAAAAGGAACCCCTTTAGGAGGCAGAATCAAGTGCAATGAAGACTGATAAGTGGTGAGAGAGAGAGAGAGAAAGGGAGAGAGAGAGTGTTTGTGTTGAAGGTTTGAGAGAGGGGGTTTTTCTCAGTTCTTCCTGAATGTACTGTGTAGCTGTAGGTTGGTCATTTTATGTTGAGTTGGATTGCAGTAAAATCAGAGATATGTAAGTCTTCAACCAAACAGTTCTCTGGCAGTGTAAAAATAATTCTGGGCTGAGTCTGTCCCAAGTCATTATAGCATTTAACTATAAGGACGGAAAGAGAAACAAACCTACGTTAGGATCTCATACAGTTCTCTTATCTATAAAATGAGGGCATTGGTCCCAACTTGGGAGGCAGTTTAGCCTAGTTAAAATTTCAGGTCCTGGAGTCAGACCAGTTTGAATTCCAGCTTTATGCATCAGTCACTAAGTGACCTTACATAATTTTTTTTAACCTCCCTAAGGCTGTTTTCTTATACATAAAATAGGTATAAGACTAGTTCTGTGAGAATATGTATGCAGTTTACTTAGCACCAAGTCTGGGATATAGTAAGTGCTCAAAAAATGTGCACTGTTATTATTGTGATGATGTTTTAGATTTATAACTTTTAAACCAGGGCTTTTCAGTCTCAGCACTATTGACATTTTGGGCCAGATATTTCTTTGTTGTTGGGGAGCAGGTCTCTCCCATGTAGTGTATGCTGTTGAGCTGTATCCCTGGCTTCTATCTACTATTTGCCAGTAGCACATCCCCTACAAGTAGTGACAACAAGTAGTACCTCCAGATATTGGCAAATGTCTGGCAGGGCAGGAGAGTAGGTGGCAAAAATGCCCTGGATTGAGAACTGCTGAGCTAGAGAAATTACATTTTAACTCTAAATCTGTTGATTACTGATTGTTCTGAAATTTAACTTATCACATGGTATATGTGTATATTTGTTACTTTACATTTATGCTATGTTGAAGCTCTCATCCTCTAATAGAAGAACGTTTCCCTTGGGGAAAGGAGGGTTGACTCGATGCTGCAGATCAAGTCAGACAGGATTACCTGAGCCTGGAGAGACTATCCATTATTCCTAAGAATGTACCAAGAATATGAGAGCTAGGGATGAACTCAGACAAGATGACTTCTCTCTCCACTCCAGAGACTGAAACTCTGAGAGGTCTCCAGGAAACACGGAGTTTTTAGAAAGGAAAAAAAAAATAACTGTATTCTTTTCTGATCTTGAGCCAACTAGTGAGAGCAGCTAGAGCAGGTCTTGGCAGAGGAGAGGGAGAGAAAGTAAAGCCATCAGAGCGAGTCTGCTTCTGGGAGGCTGGGAAATGGGGGGCAGGGAAGCCACGGATGAAGGAGCACCAGCAACCTGTGTGCATTCAGCTACTTTTAGGACCAGAAATCTGCCCTGTGCATGGCTGTTAGTGAAATATTTTTGCAGACCTTTATGTTTTCTTTTTGGATTTTCTTAGCATTTTATGTTTCTAAAATTAATATAGTTTTATTGCTTTTTCTCCAGTTGGAACCTGGTTTTTGATACTTGCAGGTTACCTTGCTCAATACTTTCAATATTTCTAACAACCAGCCTTACAACTTTAGTCTTAGAACTATCATAGGGCCTGCAAATAATAGTAGTTGGTTCCTTCCTTTCCAGTCCTCATAATTGTAAAATAGTTTTCTTGACTTCCTACACCGGACAGGGCCATGGGTACATCGGTGAGATAGAAGCCCGATTAGCTGGGAGTCTTGTCTTGTTTTAAATGCTGAAAATCATTAAAAGTGATGCTTCCTCCCATTTTGTGTGGTATCTGGTTTTGTTTCTATTGTTATCAGGACCCTTTATTAAGATAAGGGATCTCCCTTACTACTTCTGCTGCATTGGTTGTTAATCATGAGCAGGTGTTAAATTCTGTAATATAATTTTTCTGTGTCTACTGAAATGATCATATCTATGTTCTCTTTTGTTAATGTGAATTATTAACCGAGTCTAATGGAATGAGGTAGGGTGCGTCCCTTGCTTTTCCTTTCTCTGGAAGAGACTGGTTGAAATTGTAATGATCTGTTTCTTGGAAGTCTGGTAAAACTTGTTTTAAAATCTTTGATGTATTCTCCCTTGAAAGAATTCTATCTAATGATTCAATTTATTTAATGGTTACAGACTTACTCAGATTCCTACTTCTTCTTGGATCAGTTTTGACCAGTTATCTTTTACTAAAAATTTATTTCATCTAAGTTTTTTTTGTTTTGTTTTGAGACAGGATCTTGCTCTGCCACTCAGGCTGGAGTGCAGTGACATGATCATAGCTCACTGCACCCTCAAACTCTTGGGCTCAAGTGATCCTCACACTTCAGGGCACTTCATATGCAGATGACTGAAATTGGACACCTTCCTTACACCACATACAAAAATTAACTCAAGATGGATTAAAGACTTAAACATAAAATCCAAGACCATAAAAACCCAGGAAAGCAACCTAGGTAATACCATTCTCAATATAAGAATGGGCAAAGATTTTATGAAGAAGACACCAAAAACAATCGCAACACATGTAAAAACTGACAAATGGGATCTAATTATACTTAAGAGCTTCTGCACAGCAAAAGAAACTATCAACAGAGTGAACAGACAACCTACAGAATGGGAGAAAAATTTTGCAACTATGCATCTGACAAAGGTCTAATATACAGCATCTATAAGAAACTTAAATTTACAAGAAAAAAACAAAACAACCTCATTAAAAAGTGGACAAAGGACATGAAAAGACACTTCAAAAAATGACAAGTGGCCAACATATTTTTAATATGAAAAAAGCTCAACATCACTGATCATTAGAGAAATGCAAATCAAAACCACAATGAGATACCATCTGACACCAGTCAGACTATCATTAAAAAGTCAAAAAATATCAGATGCTGGTGAGGTTGCAGAGAAAATGAAACACTTATACACTACTGGTGGGAATGTAAATTATTTAATAGTTCAACCATTGTGGGAGACAGTCTGGCAATTCCTCAAAGACCTAAAAGCAGAACTACCATTTGACTCAATCCCATTAGTGGGTGTATACCCAAAGGAATTTAAATCATTTTATTATAAAGACATATGGACATGTATGTTCACTGCAGCACTATTCACAATAGCAAAGACATGGAATCAACCTAAACGCTCATCAATGATAGACTGGATAAAAAACATGTGGTACATATATACCATGGAATACTATGCAGCCACAAAACAGAAAGAGATCATGTCTTTTGCAGGAACATGGATGAAAGTGGAGGCCATTATCCTTAGCAAACTAATGCAGGAACTGAAAACCAAATACGGCATGTTCTCACTTATAAGTGGGAGCTAAATGATGAGAATACATGGACACACAGAGGGGAGCAACACCCACTGGGGCCTAATGGAGGGTGAAGGATGGGAAGGCGGAGAGGATCAGGAAAAGTAACTAACAGGTACTAGGCTTAATACCTGGGTGATGAAATAATCCGTACAAAGAACCCCCATGACACAAGTTTACCTATATAACAAATCTGTACATATGCCCTGAACTTAACAGTTAAAAAAAATGAAGGCACTTAGTAAATATCCTAGAGCTAAAAAAGAAAATCAAAGGGAAATATGGCAGGAAGAAGAGAAAAACTATTAAATGCTTCTGGAAAGAAAAAAACCATGCAAGAATAGAACTGTAATGAGTTGATTATTAGCTCTGCAGAGAATATCACAGGCACAGCGATGTGAACACGCATTATTGATTTAACTATATACCTATATTGAGAGGATGGGGGAAGGAACACAGAGAGTTGGAGTAAGAGTCTAACTTAAGAGTAGGAAGTAAACATCTCAAATTAATAACCGAGGTTGTGACATTATAAGATCCAATTTAGAAATCTAAAAAGAGTTAAAACTGGTTTCTTTTGAGCAATAGGACTAAAACAATGAGGTGTGCGACAGGGAATGGCTGTTTTCATTGTAAGATTTTCTCTACTATTTGATATTATAAAACACATACATATTTTAACTTGACAGAATTTAAATTAACAAATGCAAATAACCAGAAGACACATGCAAATTCAAGCATAGCAATAATAAAATAAATGGAGTTCCAAATAAAGTTCCAACAATAAGATACAAATTTTTACTTAAATTGGAAATTTAAAAAAAATTGAGTATCCACTACTAAAGAGATCACTGTGGCATGCACACTGTCATACAGTGACCCTTTGGGTTTAAAATAATCTATCTAGACGGCAATATGGTAATTTGTACAAAGAGCTAGTCAAATATCTCCTTCCTTTGACACAGTAATTTCATTTTATCCTATGGATATAACAAAAATGTACATTAATACTAATGCAGTGTAACTGAGGGTCTATGTTCTTATTTGAATTGTGGGGATTCTTATGTAAATTGTGGTATATCCATTCAAAGGACTATTCTCCAGTCATTAACATGAGAATTCCTGAATATTATAGAAAAGACTTCAAATATAAAAAGAGAGAGGGAAAAGGAAAAAAAACAAAAAACAAAAAACAAAAACCCAGGGCACAAAACTCTGCAGGAAGAACAGAATTTCAGCTTCCAGCCATGATACTACAGTAGCCAGATCTGACCTTCGACTGTAAAAAAGTAGGAACCTGGACAAAACTTAAAAACCAACTATTTTCAGATAGTTCAGACACGCAGAGCAGTTCTGTGAGACATAAGAAAAGAAAACAAATGAAGTGAGCCCTGTGATCTCCCCAGTTTTCTGTCTGGAGACACTTTCCAGTCTGTGGTACAGGAATGGGAATACCAAAGAGCTTAGCAGTCCTACTGAGTTGAAGAGATGGAGGTTGTAGTTCACAAGGATACCAGGGTAACTGGAATATGAGAAACAGAGTACTAGAGAGGAGAAAGCGGCACGGAGCAGAACTACAGAAATCCTCCTGCGTTTTTAGCTGAGATTCAAAACTGTTGAGCACATCACAACCTTTGGGGAAAGAAAAACTACCAGAAAGCTGAAGTCATTCAAATTCTGACCATTAAAAGTGAAGAAAACTCAGTGAACACCTGCAGCATTGTGCACAGATCCCAGAATGCCTTAATAGAAGGGTTAAACTACGCATAGAGGAAAAGCTACCTTACATCCATCCGAAACAAACTTAAAAGCAAGCTTTGGAGGGATCATGCAAATTACTGCTAGCCAGAATAAAACTTAATACTCTATACAGAACTAAAATAAATGCTTGGTATTTAATAAAAAACTACAAGATACACAGAAAAACAAGAAAACGTGAACCACAACCAGGAAAAAAAATCAGTCAATAGAAACAGATGCAGAAATAACAGAGATAATGAAATCTGCAAATGAGGACTTAAAAACAGCTGTTTTATTTATGCCCAAGGATTTAAAATATGAACATAAGAGAAACTGAGAGAAGCTTAAGATATTAAAAAAACAACAAAGAAATATAGAACTGAAAAATACTGTATCTAAATTAAAAGTTTCTCTGGATGAGAATAACAGATTAGACAATATGAAAGAAAAGATCAGCGAACTTGAAGACACAAGAATAGAAACTATCCAAACTGAAACACACAGACACACACACACACACACACACACACACACGCTGAAAAAATTGAACAGAGGCTAAGTGATTTCTGAAACAATATGAATGGTCATCACATACATACAATTTTCATTCCAAAAGAAAAGGAGAGACAGGGAGGAACAGAAAACTTTTGTAAAAATAATGGTTAAAATTTATAAAATTTGATAAAAACTATGTAAGTATAAATCTACATATCCAAAAAGCATAACAAACCTAAAGCAGGATACATGTAAAGAAAATGACTCCAATGCATACCTTAATCAAACTATTCCAAATTAGTGATAAGAAGAAAATTTTAAGAGTAGCCAGAGAGAAAAAATATTAGATACAGGTGAAAAAAGATAAGAATCATCTTTGACTTCTTATTAGAAATAATGTAATCCAGAAGGCAATGAGTGAATAAGTTTATATTATAGAAAAAAAAATCACCTATAATTCTATACTCAGAGAAAATATCCCACAAAATTAAGGTAAAATCAAGAACTTTTCAGATAAACAAAAGTTATAACAATTTATCATTAGTAGGCCTGCACTATAAGACATATTAGAGGAAGATTTTTAGGGCTGAAGAAAACAATATCAGATGAAACTCAGATTTACATAAAAATAAAAAGCAGGATGGAAAAAATACCTTTTACTCAGTTTTACATTTATTTAAAAGATAATTACCTGTATAAAAAAAGTAATAATGCATTGTGAGGTTTACATGTTGAAATAAAGTGCATTTCCACAATAGCACAAGGAGTGAGGAGGAAAATGGAGGTTTACTGTTTTAAGGCACTGATATTACACATACAGTAGTATATTATCTGAAGGTAGACTGCGATAAAATTAAGATGAATGTAGTAAATCCCAGAGCAATCAATAATATAACAAAGGAATAGAGCTACTAAGCAAATAGAGTACATAAAATGTTTTTTAAAAAAACTAAAAATAAAACTCAAATCAAAAGATGGCAAAAGGGGTGAAAAGGAACAAAGAACAGATGAGACAAATGGAAAATAAGTAGCAAGAATGGTAGATGAGATCCAACCATACTGATAATTGCACAAAAATAAAATCCTGATCACTATATGCTATCTATTGGAAACCAAACATAATTTAAATGTAAAGACACAGATTGGTTAAAAGTAAAAGAATGGTATAAAGATATGCTATTTAGACACTAACAGGAGAAAGCTGGAATGCTATATTAATGTCAGATAAAATAACCTTCATGACAAGAAATAGTGCCAGATATAAATAATATCATTACATAATAATGTGAGTCAATTTTTAAAGACAACATATATAATAATCCTAAACAACAGAATTTGAAAACACATTAATCAAAAACTGACAGTATGAAAGGAGGAAAAAACAAAGTCCATAATTATACTGAGAAATTTTCAGTATTTTCTAGGAAAGTAGACAAAGACACAGTAATGACATGGAAAACTGGAAGAATACTTTAAACCAGCTTGATCTAATTGTCATTTATCAGATACTTTACTCCAAATTGCAACATGCACATTCTTTTTAAGGACACATAAAACATTCACCAAGTTATTTTATACACCAGGCCATAAAAAAGTCTCATTAAATTTAAAATGTCTGCAATCATATGGAATATGTTCTATGACTGCAATGAAATTAACTTAGAAATCAAAACCAAAAATATTTGAAAAATAGTTATATATTACAAAATTAAACAACACTAGCATACATAATCAATGAGTCCAAGAAGAAATCATAAAAGAAACTAGAAAATATTCAGAAGTGGATAATAATGAAAATGTAAACTACCAAATTTATGAGATGTAGCTGAAGCAGTGCTTTAAGTGAAAATCTGAAAACCTTAAATCCTTTTATAATAAAGAAAATCAATGATACAAACATCCCACTTTAAAGAAATGGAAGAAGCGAAATCAAATTGAATTCCAATAGAGGAAAAGGAAATAATAAAGACTAGAAATCAATAAGAAAGGAAATGAATGGTTGTTCATTCATTCATTTTCTTTCTAGAAAGAAAAATGAATGAAACTAAAGGGTGTGTCTTTGAAAAGATGAGAAAAAGTGATAACCTCTAGGAAAACTGATTATGAATAAAAGATAATTTTAAAAATTATGAATATCAGGAATGGAAGAAGACCTAAGGGACATCACTACTGATACTATAGACATTAAATGGATAATAATGGAATATTGTGAACAACTTTTGGTTAATAAACTCAACAACTAACAAGAGATGAAGAGATTGTTTGAAAGACGTAAATTATCAAAAGCAACATAAGAAGAAAGAGAGCAAATAGTTCCATAGCTATTAAAGATAGTGACATTGAAATTGAAACCCTTCCCACAAAGAATACTCCAGGTCCAGATGGCTTCTTTGCTGAATTCTACATTAAAGAATAAATAATAACAAATTTACACAAACTTATTTAGATACAAAGAGAAAGAGACCAAGCATGGTGGCTCACACCTATAATCCCAGCACTTTGGAAGGCCAAGGTGGGAGGATTCCTTGAGCCCAAGAGTTTGAGCCCAGCCCTGGCAACATAGCGAGACCCTGTCTCTACCAAAAACTTTAAAAATTAGCCAGGCATGCTTGCATGTGCCTATAATCCCAGCTACTCAGGAGACTGAGGATTGCTTGAACCTCGGAGGTCAGGGCTGCAGTGAGCTGTGAGTGTACTACTGCACTCCAGCCTGGGCAACAGAGCAAGAGTCTGTCTGGAAAGAGTGAGAGAGGGGCAAGAGAGTAAAAGAGAGAGAGAGAGAGAGAAGGAAACATCTCCTAACTCATTTTATAATGTTAACTTTCCTCTGATAACAAAACCTAACAAAGACATTACAAGGAAACTACAGGCCATTATCTCTCATGAACATAAACATGAAAATCCTTAACAAAATACTATCAAATTTAATCCAGTAATATATAAAGAAAGTATAATACAGTATAAACCAAAATATTTAAACTGACTGGTGTTTATCACGGTCATGCAAGGTTAGTGAAACATTCAAAAGGCATTGAATTGCAGTTCGTCTTTTTGATAGAAAAAAGGAGAAAAATCATCTGCTCATCCCAAAAGATGAAAAAAAATTGGGCAATATTCAACATCCATTCATGATTTCTAAAGAAAACTAGAGATGAAAAAAATTCCTTAACTTAACAAAGGCAGCCTGAGCAACAAAGTGAGACCCCATCTCTAAGAAAAATAAAATAATTAGCCAGGCATGGTGGTACATGCCTGTAGTCCCAGCTCCTTAGGAGGCTGAGTTGGGAGGATTGCTTGAACCTGGAGGTCAAGGCTGCAGTGAGCTATGATTGCACCATTGCACTCCAGCCCAGGTGACAGAGCAAGACCTTGTTTTTTAAGAAATAAAAGAATAAAAAATAAACAAAGGGCACCTGCAAATAACCTGTAGCTAACATCATACTTAATGATGAAAGACTGAACAACTCTCCTCTAAGAACAGCAACAGGGCAAGGATGTCCCCACTCACTACTTCTATTTAACACTGTGCTGTATTATAAAATGCTCTTAAAAATATCCTCAGTAGCCAGCACAATCAAGCAAGATAAAAATAAATAAATAAAAGGAATCCAGATTGGAAAGGAAGAAATAAATATTTATTTGCAGGCAATATGATTGTTTATATAGAATATCCTAAAAACAATGTCAATGAGAAAAGAAAAGAACTTTTATCTGAGGAATGTGAGACCTTTTAAATTATCAGGCCCATAGAAATGTTAAAATGATACAGCAATCATATCCTACTTCCTCCTTTAACTATATATTCATCCTTAAAACTGTTTGCTGTTGCCACAAGTAGTCATAAATCAACCTACTAATGCTGCACCAGACACTATAACTCACACCCTATAGCTTAACAACAGATAGCCAATCACTAATCAATGTTATTTCTGTAAACCATTGAGAATTCCTGATAAACAACTTTATATCAGCCCACTCCCTGTTACCCTTTTATTCTTAAAAAATCCACTTGTAACTGCTGCTAATGGAGTCTATGTTCAGAGCAACTTGAATCTATGCTCCTTGTTGCAGTCCTCAAGCTTGGCCCAAATAAACTCTCTACTTACATTAATTTTGTCTCAGCTTTTTCCTTTAATTAGGTGTAAGTGCTTCCCTGAGTTCTGTGAGTCCTTCTGGAGAATTACTAAGCCAAAGGTAGAAACCCTTAGATTTGTAGGCAGTCAGTCAGAAGCATGGGTGGCAGGGGGACCACTTGTGGCCGGCATGTTCAGTAAGGGCAGTCTTGTTAGGGACCACAACCATGCCTTACAACTTGTGGGGTTTGCACTAACTGGATGGTTAGTGTCAGAATTGAACTGCTGTATACTCAGTGCCAGAACTGTTGAAACAGAATTAAAGGGGGGAAAAAACCTTTTTGGAACTGGGGCATGTGTATCTCCATTTAATAGGCATACTTCCCTCCACACCCCCACCCCGCCCCCGACACACACGCCAGAGACAGTGTCTCACTCTCTCACCCAGGGTGGAATGCAGTGGCATAATCATGGCTCACTGTAGCCTCAACCCTCTGGGCACAAGTGATCCCCCCAACTCAGCTACCAGTGTAGCTGGGAGTACAGGTGTGCATCACCATGCTCGGCTAATTTTTAAATTTTTTTGTAGAGACAAGGTCTCCCTGTGTTGCCCAGGCTGGTCTCAAACTCGCTCAAGCAATCTTCCCTCCTTGGCCTCTCAAAGTGGTTGAATTACAGGTGTAAGCCACCATGCTGCGCCAACAGTCATTCTTAAAGACAGGTGAAGTGTTGAGAATTACTGCCACATTTACCTATCAGACCACGCTCACGATCCTCTTGCATACACATGACTGTGGTGGTGGAAAAAGGACAGAGGATAATGTACTAAGAGTAGATTAGTTTATAAATAGTTCAAATGCTCTCCAAAATCATATTCTAGTAACAAAACTTTAAGATTCTGACACAATAAAAACCTGTTAATTTGAATGATATTAATTTGAAATTTATAGAATATAGGTAAGATTCAGGCTTTGGTTTATCTTTGCATAGCCAATACCTTTTTATAGTGGAATAAAAAAGATAAGGTCCTTCTTAGGGAGAATATTTAAGGAAGAAAATTACTTTCTGAAGTGGACATAATCTACCACATACAACTAATACTTATGCTAATTCTAAATTGGCCTTATATATTCAATGGGATCTCCTAGACAACAATGAGAATGAAAGGCTGTATCAATTAAGAGTTTCATAAGTTAATGGAATAAAACTTGATCTATTTGCAAAATATAATTTAAAGTAAATTTCAGACTCTTTTAAAAAAACTAAATTTAGTGGCTTTTTTCAAGTAATCTGAATTAGTAAAGTTTGATGAATTAGGCTAAGTTGTCATATGTCATTAACATATTGGCAAGGTCCCTGTCATATTTCTCTTAAAGCAAACAAGGAGTTCAAATGTTTCCTGTTCAGTCACCATGTGTACCCCTCAACACACACACAGGTATGATCTTGCGTATATATTTCACCAGATTACATAAAACATTTGCTTTAATAAATTTTTTTTCTTTTTTACCTTTCCTATGGTGCTGAAGGAAATATTTTTATGAAAGAGAAAGACTGGTAAGTTGTTACAGACTACAGGAGACTAAAGAGAAAGAGAAATATTAACTAAATTCAATTTGAAGTCCTGGATAGGATCCAAGAAAGAAAATAAACTTTCATGGAAAAAATAGGTGAAATTCTTTTCGAAAAAAATTTTCTTTATTTTTTATTTTTTTGAGACAGAGTCTCAACTCTGTTGCCCAGGCTGGAGTGCAGCAGTGCGATCTCAGCTCACTGCAACCTTCACCTCCCGGGTTCAGGCGATTTTCCTGCCTCAACCTCCCAAGCAGCTGAGACTACAGGTGCGTGCCACCATGCCCAACTAATTTTTGTATTTTTAGTAGAGATGGGGTTTCGCCATGTTGGCCAGGCTGGTTTCAGCCTCCTGACCTCAAGTGATCTGCCCACCCTGGCCTCCCAAAGTGCTGGGATTACAGGCATGCGCCACTGCACCCTGCCAATATAGGTGACATTTTAATGAATGCTGTAGTTGATAATATGGCACCAATGTTAAGATCCTGCTCTTGATCACTTTACTATGGTTTTGTCAAATGCCAACAATGGGTGTCACAAGGTATGGGGTATAAGGATGCTATGTGCTATTTTCACAACTTTCCTGTAAGTTTAAAATTAGTTCAAATTTAAAAGTTCAGAACAAAGAAACACTTCTACCCCATAATAACAATTATATATACTTTTTGTTTTGGAAGGAGAAATGCTCATCTCAAGAAGCTACTACAGGTACTGGGAGATGAATTGAAATAATAGTAGTCCTGAAAATTTTAACATCTGTTATTTCAAGAATAATTTCTTCTTACAAAAGTAACATAATCACCATGCAAACACTACAGAAAGTATTTGCAAATTCTCACAACAATAACAAACCACAGTCAGCATTTTTTAGCAACTTTCCTGTTTCTCCTTGGAAAAGAATTCAGATACCACCTATATCCAAAGCTATTAGAGATCTCATGCTTAAGAGTGGTCATCTCATCTCTAATTTATAATGTGCCTCCAATTATATCTACTGCTGAACACTAATATGCTTGCCAGAAAAGCAATGCAATTAACAGCATGGCATTTTTTCCCAACAGGACGAAGTAATTCATTTTGCATGTTTCCAAGCCACATTTGCGACAAACCTTAATAGGTGGAAATAAGTAGAAAAATTTCTCTCTTTTGTTTTGATGGTATCATAAAATGAATTCCAATCAATTCAAGCCGAGGCAAACTGAGCCTCTTAAGTTCCAGAAAGAAAGAAAATAGCATGGCTTGGACTGCCTCACACTACAAAGAACGAAGCAAAGGTTGTGAGCTCCTTTTACAAGCTGGCTTCTTGGACCAAGGTTGGCTGGCCATAAAGGAAGCAATGGGGGTCTGTCTGTCACGTTAGAGATTATTTTTAAAGGTGTGATTTGCATATGAATAACATAATGCAACATCAACTACATTTTCAAAATAGCACACACTGCTATCACACCAGGATGTTTTGTGAGCTTTTCAAAATAAGAACAGTTTTCACTACTAATGTAGACATTTAGAAACTGGAAACAATGGCAACATTTTTTTCTTCTGGGGTGATTTTGTACATTCTTGAGGTCCCACACAGTCTACCTAGGTACCTAAAAGAGATCTGGCAACAGGCTTGGTTGCTCTGTAATGTTACCAAGCCAAAAGAAACCACACCAAAATTGACACCAAAATATGCACAATTCATAGTGGAATTGCTGTGAATGGACTGGCTATGATGTTAAATGCTGAAGTTCTCCCTGTCTTTCATTTATAATTATAAAACCTACTGTGGGGATTTACAATTTTTATTCACTGTGTTTTTGGTTCCTTGAGAGTAAGAAAATATTCCAAATTTCAGAACCATGGTTTTTCATAAGGCCAATGACCTTCTCCAAAAACCCAGAAACTCCCTTACTCCGAGCCAAAGAGAGGGGTTTTAATGAGTCTCCAGGACAACTTGGTCAATGTTGAATTCTGATGATTAGTCTGAAACTTGATTGTACTTGTTTTTCCTCCAGCCCAATCAATAGTTCCTTCCATGGGGCTTGTTAGATGCTGATTGCTAAATACTTGGCAACTCCTTTGCCCTCTGGGAAAACAAAGAAAAGTGCTATTCTAATTACAGAGGTGAAGCTCTGGGTCAGTAAGCAATGCAAGTGTTTTTTAAGTTACCCAAATTTTGACAAGCATCCTCTGGCTAGGGAGGAAAGCCTCTTCAGATAATTTTTGGGGTAACTAGAGAATGGACGTTCAGCAAGACCTCTTTGAAACCTAGTGGTATTAACCCTTGAGCAGCAAGCATGCTGTAGGGAAACCCAGTATTCTATGCATCTGGCTTTACCCACGAGGCTCCCTCCATGAATAGGTGGGTCTTCCCTGAGTTAAGAGCTCTTCACTGATTATGAGCAGCACCACTGAGACGTACCACTGAGTTTGTGACAGCCATTCTTATTGCAAAAGTTAAGCTCCTCTTTGTCTTTTCAGAAATCTCTTGTCCTCTCCTACTTATTCAGATTCTGGCAACATACTTTTTGCTGGTCAGCCCACGTGCTGCTTGTACCAATGGTGAAATACTGTCCACCACTCAATATACTGTTTTGAGTACCATATCCACCACGTTCTGACCACATCACTCTGTGAGTTACATAACTAGAGGTTCTTCTATATTTTTTCAGCTATTCTTTCATTTCTTACAACACAGGTTTATTGCAAAAGTGGTAGACGGAAATCACGTGAGTCAGCTGCTCCTGTTGTTGGCTAGACTAAACCAGGTGTACTCGGTGTGGTCAGACCAGCAACATCCATATCTCTTGGAAGCATACTGCTATGGTCTAAATGTGTCCCCCAAAGTTCAGGTGTTGGGAACTTAATCCCTAGTGCAATGGTCTTGGGAAGTGGGGTTAATAAGAAGTGATCAGGTCATGAGGACTCTGCTCTCATGAATGGACTGATGTGGTTATTGTGAGAGTGGACTGTTATAGAAGTGAGTTCTGCTCTCTCTTGCTCTTGCCCTTACTTGCCCTTTGGCCTTTCATCATGGGCTGACACAGCATCAAGGCCCTCAAAAGATGCCAGCACTATGCTCTTGAAATTTCCAGCCTCCAGAACCATAAGCCAAATACATTTTTGTTCATTATAAATTACTTATGGTCTGTGGTATTCTGGTATTCTGTTATAACAACACAAAATGGACTAAGACACATAAAAATGAAAGTTTATGGGACTATTCAAGATTTACTAAATCAGGATCTCTGGAGGGTTGGGGGAGTTGAGCCCAGGAACATCAGTTTTAACAAAATCTTTAAGAAATTCTAATGTACTGTATACTACTATCTGAGAAGTAGCTTAAACAAGCTAGTCATTGAAATTGCAATCTGGAACACCTGGTCACCTCTTCTCTTTACCCTTTCCTTATTATCAGCATTATGTTAGCCTCCTTAAGTAACTGAGGAGATATAAACAGGGCACAAGCATCAATCGTCTTACATTCTGCAGAATCCTTCCTCTAATTCATAGTTAAATAAATGCTTGTTGATTGATTAATTCAACTCCACAGAGGATTTCCTAAAGTTAATAATCACACAATTTGGTGAGGGTAATCATGCTAAAACACAACCATCCAGCTAGCTTACAATTTGGGAATTTAAGAAGCCAAGAGATGGAAATACCAAGACTTCCATTGCAAGGTAAGAGAGGAATAACTGAATAAATATAACGTGCAACAGTGTGGTACTCAGGTATGGAGACAGAGAGTTTTGGAGGTGAGCGAGTGGAGAGCTGAAAAAAGAAATTTTTTCCTCCACTCCTTTACTGAATGGTGTGTCTTCGTAGTTTTGTGACATACCTACTACAGGCAGACAAGTTATCAAGTTTAACGGTTGGGGTTTATACACATGTAGAAATAGTTCTTTTTTGCAAATACTAGAAAAAAAATCACTACAGACCTTTTGCCTCCAATCATATTTCACTATAGCTAACCACTTCTTCATCAAACCTAAGCATAAAAATAACAAGTTTACCTGTTTCTTGGGGTCTTTATCCCCCAAAACTTATACTAAACTTAACATTAAATAAATTTGTATGTTCTTTTGCTTGTGAATCTATCTTTTGATTGATGTAGGGGCATCAGCCATAAACCTAGTGATGGTTGAGGACTAGATATTTTCCTCTTCTACAGTATTTGGCTTCCTTTTCTAGTTTTGTTGTTATTCTTTCCCTCACCACCAGGGTTTCATAACACACTCAATATTTGCTTGTTTGAATATTGTTGATTATTATGCAGTCAAGCAGACTAAAACTAGCCCTTGTTGTGACATTAAATCAACAACCCTTCCTGATTTACTATCATCCATAAGGCTCACAAATTACAGAAGACTTTGACTGAGGCTAGTGCTAATTTTTAAATGTGTGTCTTGTTTGTTTCTCAATTTAAAAAACAAGCAAACAAACTATAAACAATCTTGGTAAAGAGAAAGCTGAAAAGTGTGTTTATGCATTAATATCTCTTGTTGAAACATTCCAAGTTAATGTCATTTTATTGGGTCAATGTAGTTATGTTTGGATTTTACCTAAGTTATCTTTCATGTTCATGTAGAATTCTTCAAGATGAAACACTCTTTAGAGGTAAAAGGGTATACACCCACACCCACATCCACATCCACACCCACAGAGTATCTCCACTGGGAGTGATTTTTGATGAAAACAGGAACACTCTACCTCACAAGCAAGCTGCACCCCATGGGAATGGGAGCCTGTCCCACCATCAGTGGCTCTAAAAGAGCCAGTCTGAGTGACCAGAGAATTCAGTCCATTCCAGAGGATGTTCCTATTCATCACTCACTCACTGATTCACTTGACTACTGTGAGTGGGCATCCACCACATGCCAGGAATGTGTAAGACTCAACAGACAGACAGCCTACAACTTGCATTCTACTGGAGGTGACAAACGTTAGATCATCAGAAGAGGAGACATATGATGGTGAATGGAGAAAAGTTCGAGGGAAACTAAAAGGCATGATGAACAACTGTGATAATTGTGCCTGATTTAATTCAGAGGATGTCTGAGCAAGTTACATTTAGACAGAGATGGAAGGGATAACTAAGACTTTACCCAGGTGAAGACTGCGAGGTCACATGCAGAGGCCACAGAGCCGGAAACACAGAGCATTGAGGTGGCTGTGTGGCTGGAGTGACCAAGCCAGGGAAGCAGGCAGGGCCTAATAGGCCACATCAAGGACTTCATGTGTTGTAAGTTACTGAAGTGTATTAAAGAGGAAATGATATGACTATGTTTTTGCTTTTATCCCATTACCATGGCTACAGGGCAGAGACTTGATTGCAGTTGCCCACGTGGATGTAGGAAGATGATAGGAGGCTGTTGTGATGGCTCAGGCAAGAGATAGCCTAGGATAGCTATCTTATTGGATAGCCTAGGAAGGAGTCACTGGAATTAGAAAAAAGTGAACACATCCCAGAAATAATTAAGAGCTATGATCAGCAGGATTTAGAGACTGACTGGATGTGAGAGGTGGTAGACAATGAGGTGTTCAGAATTACTTTTTTCATTCTGAGTGAAAGAGTGGATGTCAGGCCATTTACGGAGGAAGGAGACACAGAAGGTGGATCAGGTCTGGGAGGTGAATGATGAGTTTAGTTTTGGCCATCTTGAATCCGAGGTCCTCACAACACAGACTAGGGATATCAAGTAGGGGTCTGGTGCTTAGAAGGAAATCCTGTTGGAAATATAAACTTGGGTTGTATCAGCTGGTAGATGATAGTTGAAGCCAAGTGTGTGATGAAAATCCTCAAAAGAGGGAGTCCCAAAGCGAAGGCCTAGATAGCAACCCACAGGGATGTAACAGGTAGAGGTTGGGGAGAGGTGGAGGAGTAGCAAGGGAGAGAGAAGGAAAAACAGGAAGGCACAGTGAAACAGAAGCCAAGAGAAGAGGGCCTTAAATAAGAAGGACTGTTCAATTGGGTAAATATTCTTGGGATGCTAAGTAAGAGGAAATCTTTCAAGTAGCAACATGGAGGGTGTGGACCTTACAAGAGCAGTTTCAGTAAAGCAGTGAGCAACTTGAGAAGTTCCATGATGAGAGGTGAAACTACTAGTAGCCAGAGGAAAACATAAAGTCAAAGGAGTGTTTTCTAACATGGGAGGTGCTTCAGTATGCTTGACTGAGTAGAGGAAGGATCTAGTAATAAATGAAAACTGAGATCCATAAGAGAGAGGAGAGGATGTGGGATTCTGAGTAGGTGGGAGAACAGGACACATGCTAATCTTTAAAAAGCAGAGGGACATTTCTTCTATTGTAACAGGAGGAGCAACCCAGATAAAAGGTAGATTAGACGGTGGGAAGTTGGGGGCATTCCTGTCTGAGGGCTGCTGTTTTCTATATTAGGCTCCTAAGGCCAAATCATATAGTGGGGATGGGAGTAGGAAATTGAAAATGGAAAGGAGGAGACCTGGGGATACTAGAGGAGGAGTAAGTCTCTGGGTACAAAAGGAAAGTGAATATTCTAGACAAACATAATAGGATGGCTAAAGTGGTATGGAGGCCCCACTGAGGCTGCCAAGTTTGCAGTAGGGCAATGTGCCATGGTTGAATGGGAATCTGGTTATTAACTGCTCTATGACAGGCTAGATGGTTAGCCAGGGCAAGAGGGGCATTCTTCGGCTTTAAATTAGTTTCCTTGCATGAAGTTAAATGGTTTTGTAAGGCTCAAAAGTAAAATAACTTTTCCTCTGCTCTTACAATCAAGAAAATGTCAGAATACTACTACAAATCTCTCACGATCAGTGTAACAACAAAAATAAATTACCACAATGAATTATTTTAGAATACAAGCATTCCTTTATACTATTTCTGGTGGAACTAGGGGCAGGAGGTGAAGAGGGGTGGGGGCAGGAGGCCAAGACATGAATTGATTTGCATCAACAAGAATAATGTTTTTTTAAGAAATATATCCACCTTAAGTAAGCACAATGCTTTCCATTTTCCATAGAAAACATAAAACCAGTAGACCATTTGAAGATCTAGAAATAGTATTCCTTAGTTAGAATGCCAGAGCCTCAAGGGAATTCAAACTGACCCTGTCTATAATTGTGTGGGTTACAAGGAGTTAACTTTGTCCTGGAACAAGAGTGTAAACCTGACTTGTCAAAATTTGCATTATGTTTCCAATTATTTATCCTCCACCTTATTAATGTTTATAGTAACAGAGAGCTTGAGTCCTCTTCTTTTTTAATATCAGATTAATTATTCACTATACATTTAAAAACTTATACTATGCTGCCTTTCTATGTCACCTTTGTTTTTTCTTATTGCACACAGATGCAATTAAAAGCTCTTTCTGTATTCCAGAAGTCACGCACGACAGGAGGGAGAAGCTACATGCCTCTTGAAACTATTCATAGAATAGATCCAATCTCTCCTTGTTATTTTTCCTGGCATCTCTAGACACACAGACTTTCCTTAAAAATAACACTTGCGAAAGCTATGCTTAATAAATAAATTTGTCACTATGCTGACATATCCAAATCAGAATGCTTTAAAGACAAACAGAAAACTAAGACCATTGGAGTTTCTTCACGAGTTTCAATTCCCTGAGTCTCATCACATCCTCAGTCTTTGCACTTGTTCTTTTCCCTACAGGACAAAATGACATATTTTTCAAGTGTCCACAGCCTCCCAAGTGTAATTACTAATATTATATTAATCTGTACTCACAGTGTCACCAACACTTGATTTGCTTTCCTAAGAAGCTTCCCAAGTATGATTTCCCCAAGGTTAAAGAGTGGAAAAGAAGACACAAATGTAAGAAGCTTTGCCCGCTATGGCTGCCCAACGATTTCTAATTAGCCTGTGTATTTGAAAGATCTGAAGCATTGGTTTAATCTCTAATCAGAGAAGGAATTTCTCTTGTACCTTTAGAGAGGCTTGTGAATGAGCCAATCGCTTGTTTGGCTCCTAGGATACCAGAACTAACACCAGGGGGTGGAAAGCAAATGATCAAATTTATTTCCTTTAGCTATCAATTTGATTTCTATCCAGAAAAGTCTGTTGTTTAAAAAAGGAGGGGTGAGGGGAACTGTGGTTTGGAAAGGTTCTCATTTTAACCTCTGTAGGCTGTCTATGTAGATTGACATAAAACTCAAAAGTTAACAACATCTGTGGGGATGTGGTTAAAAAAACAGGGAGCTCAAAGGAGAAGAAGGTCATTCCCAGTTGTAATAATTTCAGACTCTAACTACTGGAAAGCACACAGTTAAAAGAAACAGCACACAGATCAAAAGGGACCACCCTGCTACCTTTTGGGTTTCAAAACCTGCAATTGTTCCTATCCACTTGTTTTCTTGTACTTCATGACTTAACACATAAAACGTGAAATGTGATAAGCCAATGGGTCAAAACCCAGTTCTTCCTCTAGATAGGTTACCCAGTAAGCTTTACAAGCCTGGTCTAACAAAAAAAAAAAAAAAAAAAAAAAAAAAAAAAGCCCTTCACAATAATTCACTTTAAAGTTTAGTATCAATTTACATTTCTAAAGTTCAAGGTCATGTCCCTTCCTCCACCCTTTGCCTGCATCCTCCATTCACTTCAATCTTTGTACGACCTTCCAGCTGTGAGCAGATTTATGTTTTGAGTCTGCCTATTCCTATTTAGGCATGCCAGAATAAAGTTAGGATAGTGGGAGGATCCCACAATACATATTTTTTTTTTCTGGTTAAAACACAAACTATCAAACCTAGAATGAATCAACAGAATACTCTGCTAGGTAGAGACCACGTCTATTTTACTTGCATCCTGCAGACCTAGCAGAACATCACCTAAAAGTGAACAAAAGTGAGTGCTGAGGATGGTGATGCAGGCTGCCATTTACTCAAAATTTAAATCACTCACCCTGAAAAGTAATATGCTCTGTTCTCTATTTGCTTATTTTATGAATTAATAGCCCATTAACAGTGCCACATCTTCTACAGGGCTTCCTCTCTTAGGAGTGACATTGGAAATAGCGTTATCAGTCTGCTCAAGCTGCTGTAAGAAAACACCACAGATTAGGCCACTTCAAAAACAGAAATTCATTTCTCACAGTTCTGGAGACTGGGAATTCCAAGATCAAGTTGCTGGCAAGGTAAGTTTCATTCTGAGGCCTCTTCTCTTGGCTTGCAGGTGGCAGCCACGGTGCTGTGTATTCACATGACCTCTTTTTTAAGAGAGAGAGACACTAGGCTAGCAAGCTCTCTGGTGAGTCTTCTTATCTAATCCTTCCACATCAGGGCCCTGCTTTGACCTCATTTAGCTTTAATAACTTCTGTCCAAATACAGCCACACTGGTAGTAAGGGCTTCCACGTATGAATTTGTGGGAAGACACACTCAGTCCATAAAAGGGAGAAAGAAGGGGTGAGTGATTAAATAATGTTGCATATTTTTTTCTCCAAACTTTGTATTATATTAGTGTAATATATATATAGGTAATAATCAAATGTACTTAATCTTATGCTCTCTTCTGCATCAAAAGATTGTAGTATAATTGTGCTGTCAAACACACCTATCAACTTTATGCTCCCATCTCTGTCGCCTTCAGCCTCGTTCCTGGGCTCCTTAGCTGTCTCCTGTTTCCTTCTCTAAACCAGAAAGATACTCTATCACTGGGTGCAGTGGTTCATGCCTGTAATCTCAGCACTTTGGGAGGCCGAGGCAGGCAGATCACCTGAGGTCAGGAGTTCAAGACCCGCCTGGCTAATATGGTGAAACCCCCCCTCTCTACTAAAAATACAAAAATTAGCCAGGCATGGTGGCAGGCACCTGTAATCCCAGCTACTCAGGAGGCTGAGGCAGGAGAATTGCTTGAACCCAGGAGGCGGAGGTTGCAGTGAGCCAAGATTGTGCCACTGAACTCCAGCCTGGACAACAGAGTGAGATTACATCTCAAAAAAAAAAAAGACACTTTATCATTTTTAAAAAATAATAGAACCACAGAAAAAGTATAATACAGGCAATATGTTTTGATTTTAAAATAGAAAATCTATTTAGCTAATTTTAACCTAAAATAAAAAATAGCTGGCCATGTGTGGTGGCTCACACCTGTAATCCCAGCACTTTGGGAGGCTGAGGCGGGAGGACTGCTTGAGCCCTTGAGCCCAGGAGTTTGAGACCAGCCTGGGCAACATACTGAGACCCTGTCTCTATAAAAACAAAAATAAATTAACCAGGTGTGGTGGCACGCATCTGAGGCCCCAGCTACTTGGGAGCCTGAGGAGGGAGAATCACTTGAACCTAGGAGTTTAAGGCTTCCGTGAGTTGTGATTGCACCACTGCACCCCAGCCCGGGTGACAGAGCAAAACCCTGTCTCAAAATAAAAAGAAAATCATAATATCTGACCTTGGTGAAAGACTGGCTCTTCGAAATCAGATTCTGTCCAGCATTCAAGGCTATCTACTTACTGGACTACTTTAACTTTCACTCCTAGTGTTTAGTCCATTCTTGATACCTTTTGTCTTTGCTGAACAGAAGTGAATAAATATAATATTAATAAAGAACTGGACTAGAACCCAATATAGAGGATAAGGACTGGAACACATTTTATTCAAGGAATTCACTTGAGGCAAGGAGGCCCAGTTATCAGTCTCCTGAATACCTTATTTGTACTGAGTTGTCTATGTTAGTGCGGAGGGTATAACCACTAACTAAATTGGCCTGAAATGTGTAATACAACTGTGATTTTGCTGACCCAGTGTTAGAGTAGCATGCTGGATGGAACAGTAATAACTGTGATAAGGAGAATGATGATGGCCGTGGGAGGCTGATTGTTTCTAATAATCGGAATGATCTTTCTTATAGAACATTTGGCTCAATTCTCAATTTATGGACTTGGATACATTTGGTATTCTTCTGGCTAAATACAACTGAATGCTAACATATTTTTAAGTTGTTGCAATATATGCAAAACTACATGGCTGGCTCAGAAGATGCCTCTTTGTAATTCATATTAATGCATTAAAAACTAAATTCAATAAAATTTGACTTACTTGTATCTTGCCTATAGTTCATAAAACCTAATATCAGTTTCAAATATTGTAATACCTGTTTCTAAATAACAAAGTAGATACATATTGCCCAAGATCACTAAGAATTCTGTCAACCATATGAATGCAAATCACGCTTGGACTGACCCTGAAGAGTTCCCCAATTTGTCACTGACAGACACAAACAAGATCATGGCTAGACCACCCAAGGCCTGTGGGTCTGTTGTAAAGATCATCAGACAATATTCCATAATCTCCTCTAGATGCCTATTTTCTATTATAAAAACTTTCAAAAATATAGAAATGTTGCTTTCCTGCCAGAATCCCTCAGGCTGGAGTTACTTGGTTCTCAGTGAAGGCAAAAAGCATCAGTCTTCATCCATGTTCTATAGCAAAGCATGTATTCTGGCATCTCTGCCACACTGTGCTAATGGGTAGAGTTCCCTTCTGCTTTTTTACTCCATCCAGGGCTTCCTACATTCTTGGTTTAGCTCTTTTCCACGTTCCCATTTCCTCACTGTCTCCCATCACCGCCAGATGGGACTGAGTAGTTGTAGGTAAACAAGCTCAGGACTCCCACTGATTCCATATTATGGTGAGTTGTATAATTATTTCATTATATATTGCAATGTAATAATAATAGCAATAAAGTGTACGAAAAATGTAATGTGCTTAAATCATCCTAAAGCCACCTGCTGTCCCCAGTCCACAGAAGGATTGCCTGGCTTCTGACATTGAGATCTTGACGATCTCAAATGATTCTTTACCATTAGACTGGAAGCTACTTAACAGCAGGAATGACATCTGCCTGGTTCACCTCTATATTTTTAGTACCCAGCACAGGACTTAGTAAATGACAACTGTTCAAGAAATATTTGTTAAAAGAACAAATTGTATACAAAAGAATGAAAATTGGGAGGCCCTAAGCCAGGGGTCCCCAACCCCCAGGCCCCAGGACTGGTCTGTGGCCTGTTAGGAACTGTGCCGCAGAGCTGGAGATGAGTGGCAGTTGAGTGAAGCGCCATCTATATTTACAGCCACTGCCCATCACTTGCATTACCACCTGAGCTCCGTCTCCTGTCAGATCAGTGGCATTAGATTCTCATAGAAGTTCGAACCAGCTGGGTGCGGTGGCTCATGCCTGTAATCCCAACAGTTTGGGAGGCTGAGATGGGCGGATCATGAGGTCAGGAGATCGAGACTGTCCTGGCTAACACAGTGAAACCCCGTCTCTACTAAAGATGCAAAAAAATTAGCCAGGCGTGGTCATATGCGCCTGCAGTCCCAGCTACTCAGGAGGCTGAGGCAGGAGAACAGCTTGAACTCAGGAGGCAGAGGTTGCAGTGAGCCGAGATTGCGCCATTGCACTCCAGCCTGGGTGACAGAGGGAGACTCCATCTCAAAAAAAAGAATTGCGAACCCTATTGTGAACTGCGCATGCAAGGGATCTAGGTTGCCCGCTTCTTATGAGAATCTAATTCCTGATGATCTGTCACTGTCTCCCATTACCACCAGATGGGAGTGACTAGTTGTAGAAAAACAAGCTCAGGGCTCCCACTGATTCTACATTATGGTGAGTTGTATAATTATTTCATTATATATTACAATGTAATAATAATAGAAATAAAGTGTACAATAGATGTAATGTGCTTAAATCATCCTAAAACCATCTGCTACCCCCATTTGGCAGAAAAATTGTCTTCCACACAACTGGTCCCTGGTGCCAAAAAAGCTGGGGACCGCTGCTCTAAGCTATGTTCTCATTCTTGTCTCACGTCACTAAAGAACAAACTCAGTGAACTACAGCTGTAGTATTCAAGGCCAAATGCTGGCTGACCTAAGAGGCCAAGTTTGGTCCAATATAGTCATCTTGGGGACGTTACTCAACAACTTTAGTAGAAGTTAACAATGCAGTGCCGGCCAGGCACAGTGGCTCATGCCTGTAATCCCAACACTTTGGGAGGCTGAGGTGGGTGGATCACCCGAGGTCAGGAATTCAAGACCAGCCTGGACAACGTGGTGAAAACCCGTCTCTACTAAAAATACAAAAATTAGCCGGGTGCCTGTAATCCCAGCTACTTGGGAGGCTGAGGCAGGAAAACTGCTTGAACCCAGGAGGCAGAGGTTGCAGTGAGCCGAGATGCGCCATTGCACTCCAGCCTGGGCAACAGAGTGAAATTCTGCACCCCACCCCACCCTGCCCCTCAAAAAAAAGAAAATAAAAACAAGCTCAGGGCTCCCACTGATTCTACTTTATGGTGAGTTGTATAATTATTTCATTATATATTACAATGTAATAATAATAGAAATAAAGTGTACAATAAATGTAATGTGCTTAAATCATCCTAAAATCATCTGCTGCCCCCAGTCTGCAGAAATGTTGTCTTCCAAACAACAAAAGGCTTGGGACCGCTGCCCTAGGCTGTGTTCTTATTCTCATCTCATTTTACTAAAAAAACAAACTCAGTGAATTACAGCTGCAGTATTCAAGGCCAATTGCTGGCTGACCTAAGAGGCCAGGTTTGGTCCAGTATAGTCATCTTGGGGATGTTACTCTGAAGGGAAACTTGCAGGGATAAAAATGAACAACTTTAGGCCGGGCATGGTGGCTCACGCCTGTAATCCCATCACTTTGGGAGGACGAGGTAGGTGGATCAAGAGGTCAGGAGTTCAAGACCAGTCTGACCAACATAGTGAAACCCCTCTCTACTAAACATACAAAAATTAGCCGGGCATGGTGGCGGGCACCTATAGTCCCAGCTACTCGGGAGGCTGAGGCAGGAGAATGGCGTGAACCTGGGAGGCAGAGGTTGCAGTAAGCCAACTACTAAAGAACAACTTTAGTAGAAGTCAACAATGCAGTGCTGGCTGGATGGGGTGGGGTGGCTCATGCCTGTAATCCCAACACTTTGG